>NC_000012.12:43975279-44126794 GCF_000001405.40 Homo sapiens
CTGTGTGCCCTTGACTCTATATATTTGTAGTGGTTTTGGGGTCAGACTCTGCTTCAAATCCTGCTTCTGCCACTTCTCAAACTCTCTTGTCCCAGGTATAATAATTATAGATAATAGTTATCAAGACCTAACTCTTTGCCAGGTGCTGTGTTACATGATTGATGTGTATCATTTTATTTAATGCTCATGACAGTTTAGGAGGAGAGACAGACCACTAACAGAGGTTAAGTAGTTTGCTGACCATCATGTAGCTGATATCATGTCAGGCAGAGTCAGAATTCAAATGCAGGCTTTCTCGCTCCAGAGAACTGGCAGTGTTAGCTACATGGAGTTTTCCTAGGTATAAAGTAAAAATGATAATATCGTATCTACTTCATAGGATTAGTGTGGTGATTAAGTCATAGAATATCTGAAAAATACATTCTCTTCTGTTTAAAATAAACTTTTATTCACCAAACATTAGCAGACTCTCAGGGAACATTGCTTTTATCCATTAAACAAAGGTGATCTTTGCTGGAAACCCAGTGGCTTTGTGATACAATTCATTATGCTGGACTAAAAAGCAGAAAGCATTATGGCTTTAGGATGACATGGAAAAACATACACTGAAAAGACTGATAGCTGGATGACCCTCCACAGTATCTAGCAGCATCCCACTGGGCTCTGGATCTGCCAGATTCCTCAGCCTATCAGTCTTTGGGATGATGGTGAGAGAAGTAGCTAAAGGAATCAGAATTACAAAAAGTATCCATAGGATGGTGTGATGGCTTGAAAGTACCAGGACTAAAATGAGAGACAACTTTAAATTCTACACTTGTATTAAGTATCTCCCCGAAAAATAGAGAAGTTTGTTTTTAGTAAAGCTCTTACACTTCTAGTCGACTGGAGGCTAAATGGGAATCACCAGTGTGACATGACTGTTAAAGGAGCTAATGAGTCATAGGTAGCATTGTTTTCTAAAATAAGGAAATTAATAGTACACTGCAGTATCAGACCATGTTGCCCAGTCTGTCCTGCAGACTGTGGCAGAGCAACAGATGAAAGGATTTCTCAGACACAGGTATCCAGTAAAAGAGTGGGCTAGGGGACTGCTGGCACTAGGGGCCCAAGAGAGTTAGCAGCCCCCCTAAGCTGGCAACGCTCACATTTATTTAGTACAGATTTAATGACAAAGGCTTGGAGCAAACACAATTTGTGGGTAATAAACATTGTCGACCCCCTGAGTAGAGAGCATCCTAAGCACGAATCATCAAAGGTTGGTTTCTGGAGACAGGAGTAAACAAATTTATCTAGATCGATTTCTTTACATTCCCTTATTATCTGCCCTCACCCTTTGCCAGGGTAAGAACAGCTGCTTTCAGCTCATTCTTCCCTGAAGCTTTGCAAAACCTCCTGGCCTTCCAAGAAGGTTTGCCTTTTTCCCTATAATTTTTATAACTTTTCCTACCAGCCTGACTGATCTCCTACATCTCCCCCTTTTCTGATTTTTGCATCAGGTTTTGTTGATTGAAGAGTATAGATGTGTGCAGCAACAGGTTTGTCAGGTGCCACGGTTATAACTCATGTTCTGGCTTTGCATCCTAGAATTAGTAAATAACATAAGACAAACATGAGTATAATCAGTAACATTCTTTTCTAATCAAGGAGTGACATGTAGTATTACTTGGCACCTCAGTTCAATGTGTGCCGTTACTAAGGAACCCCCCACTAGGGGTATGTTAACCCCTTTCAGCTAAGCAGTTATGTTATTAGAGACTGCCCAAGTAACAGGGTGGAAGAAAGGCAGATCTAAGAGATGAGCCTAATAGAGTGTAGCAGGTGCAGGTTGCAGGCAGAGCGAGAGCATAAAAAGGATAAATACCCTATGAGAGTTGTGATGTACAACAGAGAGTATAGCAAGGAACAGATTATCTGAAGTGAATGGTGTCTGTTTCTGGAGCAGGATTCACTCAGCCTCCTGAGTTGTCTTCTTCAGCATTTCCTAGGTAATGTCCGGGGCTTGTGTCATCCAAGGAAGCTGCATCATCCAGGGCTGCGGGTTCTGCAGGGACATTTCCTTCATTTCTGATACCAGGTTGGGTCCTAGCCACACCATGGTATGGGTTTGATGTGTCGTGCTGGAATCCACAGAGGACCTGAGGGGGTATGAACACAAGCATATTCTCTTCCCCATGTTAGCAATTTGTTTGGACCACTACATACATTACTGTTTACATCTTTCCATAAAACTGCGGGTTTTATGTCTAGAGAGGTTTTAGCAAAGTGCTTTTCTATAGCTAATTGGAATTTATTATTTAAATTTAAAAAATTAAAGGTAAATAAGGCTTGTGCTAGTAGTGTTGCAGGGTCCTTACTCATATTCCCCCTTTTTTGTTTTCTGAGCATATTTTTAAGAGTGGAATGGACACATTCTACTGTGGCCTGCCCTTGAGAGTTATATGGGATGCCTGTGGAATGTTGGATGTTCCACATGTGGCAAAATAGTTGAAATTGTGAGCTGGCATAAGTCGGACCATTACCAGTTTTAATTTTTGTGGGCCACCCCATAAATGCAAAAGTTGAGAGAAGATGTTTAATAACATATTGGTTGGACTTTCCAGGAAGAGCATGTGTGCTAATTAGGTGAGAATAGGTGTCAATGGATACATGTACATATGTAGTTTTAGTTTTCTGAATTCAGGGACATATGTAACATCTGTTTGCCAAAACTGATTAGGTTCTAGTCCTCTAGGGTTAACACTTGTTGAAGGAGGGGACATGCCTGTGAGCTGGCAATCTGGGCATTGCAGGATAATTTGTTTAGCTAGTCTTTGGGTAAGTTGAAATTGTTCAGTTAAGTTCCTCCAGTTTTGGTGGAAAAATTGATGTGATTGGGTGGCTTGGTCAAGCAGTGAGGTCATAACTTGCAGGTCTGCTTGATTATTACTGTAAGCCAGTGGGCCAGGCAGTGAGCTGTGGGCTTGAATATGTGTGATAAAAATAGGACGTGTATGTTGATCCAGCAATTGCTGAAGTTGAAGAAAAAGTGCACACAGGGTGGGCTCAAGAGTGGACTTAATGAGAGCTGTTTCAAGGTTCTGCAATAAATAGAGTAAGCAGAGTCATTAATAATATTGATAGGCTGAACGGAAAAGGTCTCCAGGGCCAATATTAAGGCTCTAACTTCAGCTCTCTGAATGTTAGTAAGTCCAGAACGAGTGAGGGAATTATGTGGTCTCCACCAAACAGCCACTTTTCCATTTTTACCAGAGCTGTCAGTAAAAGGTGTTAAAGCTTTAGGTATGGGGGAGTGAACTACTTTTGTAGGCACAACTACAGGAGTACGAGATAAGAACTGAATTAGTTTGTCAGCAGAAAGGGCATGCTCTATATGGCCTGTATAATCAGAGAGTGTTATCTGAAGATCTAGAGATAGGGGCATTATTGCTTAAAATTGCTTTTTACTTGAAGTAATTCTTATGACATCAGGGTCATAACCTAGCAACTGATTGCATCATCTGTGGCCTGTATAGATGAGTTTACTACCTAGCTGGATATAGGGAGATAGTGTTTTAGTCCCGGTATGTGAGCAAAAATCTCATTCTAGGAAGTATAGCCTTGGGGCCATCTGTCCTATTAATCTTGTTGGGGAATGTTTAGTAGGAAAAACAAACAATTGGACTGAATATTTTGGGTCTGTGCAATCTAGTTGCCTCTGAGAAATAGTATGCTCTATTTCCTTAATTTCCCTTTTTGCTGCAGGAGTTAAATGCCTGAGAGAGTCTAGGGTTGTATTGCCTTTTGGGATAGAAAACAGGTTTTGTAACTTATCAGTAGTTATGTTCAAGGAGGGGCGAAGCCAATTAATATTACCCAGTAATTTTTGATAATCATTTAAGGTGTGTAAGTTGCTAGTATTTAACCTTTTGAGGTCTTATTGACCAGGAAGTTAATATGTATCCAAGATACTTCCAAGGAGAAGACAATTTTACTTTCTCAGGTACTATGATTAAACTTCCTAACTGTGTGTTCTTTATGACAGAGGCATATAAACTTAAAAGTACTGGCTCCACTGGGGCTGCTAGTAAAATATCATCCATAAAATGAATAATCTTGCAATTAGGAAATTTTTTTTCTACTGGGGAGCAAAGCCTGATTTACATGATACTGACACATGGTAGGACTGTTTAGCATTCCTTGAGGAAGTACTTTCCAATGAAATTGGTGAGCTGGCCTTTCATTATTGATAGTTGGTATTGTAAATGCAAATTTTTCTCTGTCCTGTTTTGCAAGGGGAATAGTATAAAAGCAGTCTTTTAAGTCAACAATAACTATAGGCCAATCTTGAGGAATCGCTGTGGGGGAAGGGAGGGCCTGTTGAAGGGGCCCCATAGGTTGCAAATTAGCGTTGATAGCCCATAAGTCATGCAAAAGTCTCCATTTGCAAGATCTTTTGGGAATGACAAAAATGGGTGAATTCCAAAGGCTGTTTGATATTCTATATGGCTGGCTTTAAATTGCTCCTCAACTAATTCATGGGCTCGTAATTTCTCTCCCTTTAAAGGCTACTGTTCTATCCAAATAGGACTTTGAGAGAGCTATGTCAGGGGTAGGGGAGGAATAACAGTGGCCGTTATTAGAAAGGGGTCTGCAGAGTGACCTCAATTAACCCTCTTGTAAATGGGCTAGCGGCTCCATTTTCTCTAATGCTTTTTCTTATCTCTTGATAAGCGTCAAAAGAAATGGGTTCATAGAACTGATTGCCTTGTTGATCTTGTATTACTGGGCAGGCTAAGAGCTCCCCTTCTAATGACACTTGCCTAAGATAGGGTCCCACAGCTGTAGTGTATCCCTTGTCTTTTTTCCAATTTATTGGAGGAGGGGGCTTAGGCAAAACCTGCATTTCCTCTTTGTTATTTTTGCCCAGTAATGGCTTGGCTGAGGGAGAAGGAGGAGGTAGTAAGGTAGGTGATAGTTCTTCCTCCCTTTCCCATTTAGGCTCTTCTGTGTGGAGTGGGATCAAAGCAGCCCTAACTAAAGCCCATAATGTTAGAGTTGTTACTGGGACCCTTTGCCTTTGTGCATGATATTGTTTAAGATTTCTTCCCACTTGTTCCCAGAGTTCTACATCTAGCGTACCTTCTTCTAGGAACCATGGGATATGGGATACAACAGTTTGCATTAGGTCCCTTAATTGAGCCTATGAAACTGAGGCTGTGGTAGCTTTAAGCAGCTGCTTCAATACTTTTATATACTGTTGCTCTTGAGCTGATAACTGTTGTCCCATGATGAAACCCTAGCCTGAATAATTCCCTTAAACTTGGAAATCCCGAGTGGGCACCAATGACTTACTGACTTACTGACTGTGCAGTCTCTTCACTTCCATTTTAGAGGGTTCCATTGTGATCTGTTGCAGTATTCCTCACATGGGGTACCACCTGCCAAGTCTGTCCTGCAGACTCTGGCCAAGCAACAGATGAAAGAAGTACTCAGACACAGGTATCCAGTGAAAGAGCAGGCTAGGGGACTGCTGGCATTAGGGGCTGAAGAGAGTTAGCAGCCCCCGAAGCCGGCGATGCTCACATTTATTTAGTACAGATTTAATGACAAAGGCTTGGAGCAAACACAATTTGTGGGTAACAAACATTGTTGACTCCCTGAGTAGAGAGCAGTCCTGAGTGTGAATGATCAAAGGTTGGTTTCTGGAGACAGGAGTAAACAAATTTATCTAGATAGGTTTCTTTACATTCCCTTATTATCTGCCCTCGCCCTTTGCCCCAGGGTAAGAACAGCTGCCTTCAGCTCATTCTTCCCCAAAGCTTTGCAAAGCTTCCCGGCCTTCCAAGAAAGTTAGTGTCTTTCCCTATAATTTTTATAACTTTTCCCACAACCCTGACCGATCTCCTACACCATGTCTAGCACATTTTCACCACATCTCAAGTCTATATTCTTGAAGGTTCATTGGCCATTTGATTATATTTGGAGGCCAGACCACTTGAATAAAGGCTTTTCTGACCATTTTATTTCAGGAATTGTTCAATCTGGGTTTTAGCTTGGGGAATATTATCACTATCTTCAAATACTTGAAGAGCTGTCATGTATAATTGGGAGTAGACTTAATCTGTATAGTGCTGGAGCACAGAAAGAGGAAGGATGAATGGATCATAGTTATAGAGCTTCAGTTGGGGCTTAATATAAGCAATAACTTTTTAACTGTTAGAGCCACGTAAAACTAAAGTGCCTGCTTTGTTGGTAAAGCAATGAGTTCCTTACTGGTAGAAGTGTTCGAGAAACTGTGAGATAGACTGCCTATCAGGGAGAATATAGATAAGATTTCTGCTTTGAGTGATTGGTTAAACCTTCTGACTTCTAATACCTCTACCTAGTCCAAAATTCTTTAGTATTACAAAAAAGATACAAGTGTTTGCAATAGAGCAAAGTATTGCCTCAAAATGAAATCTAAATGAAGAGAAAATGGGTTCTACTACAAAAATTACCTTTTCAAGAGATGTTCACTCATATATGGAATTGCAAAGAAAAAAAATGTAGGTATCATAGAAGCAGAGAGTAGAACAGTGATTACCAGAGATAGGAAGGTGAGGGGGAGGAGAGAATGGGGAGAGGTTGGTCAAAGAGCAGAGAGTTACAATTAGATAGGAGGAGTAAGTTGTGGTGTTCTATTGCACAGTAGGGTCATGATGGTTAACAGTAAGGTATTGTATATTACACAATAGCTAGAAGAGAGCCTTTGAATGTTCTCATCACAAAGAAAGGATAAATGCATGAGTTGATGGATACACCAAATACCCTGACTTGATCATTATGCAATATATATATGTATCAAAACACTAAATTGTACCCTGTAAATATGTAGAATTACAATATGCCAATGAAAAATTTAAAAATTTCATTTTAATGTATAAATAGGAATGTGAGTTCATTCTTTTAAGGTGAGACTACAAATGTCAGAGAAACCAGATGTGTGGGTCAGCTAAAATAGTTTCCCCGAGGAATACAAAATGATCAGAAGGGTCCAGGGTGAGTGTGAATCTGAATAAGGGAAATGGGTGCACTACTGAGTGGCTAATGACAGCAGGTTCTAATGTATCCATGTTCACAAAAGGGAGATGTCTGGTAGGCAAACTGAGTCTACACACTGGCTTCACGTTAGGTACAGGAAAATATGGTTACTGCTAAGAAACCCCCATACTCTTTGTTTTCTAACCTTTTTTTTTCAAATTAAATGCATTAAAAAATAATACCTTCTACCTTTTCTACATTATGTAATTATTTAATCTACTTCCCTACATATACTTGACAAATTATTGAGATGGCATCTTAATATTTTCTGCTTAGCTCATTCTGGGAGAAGACCTTCTTTTCCTCTTAAAAATTATCTTGTGTGCTTATCCCTTTCAGGAAAAATCACAGAACAAATTCCTCAGTCACAATCTCTCCTGGGAGATAAACTGTGAATAGAATGACTCTTCTTTTACTTGTTCTGTCATATTGCCAAATAGAACACAGAGCGTATTCACATATTATGTATTTTGTTTAGAAGCTCAGCTATCAAAGACTTGAGCTATACAAATTTCCCGGAGAAGGTATTTTGACCCCTTCCATATGCTACCTCATTTTCCCTGGCCAATGATATCCTTAATCTATTATTCTAAAGCAGATTAACAGATCTCATTTTTAAATTCTTATTATAAAGTTGAATAAATACTATGCAGTTAAAGGAGTTGCATCATAAACCACCTCAATGTTTAGAAGCTTGAAACAGCAGCCATTTTATTTGATTGCTGATCTGTGGGCCAGCAATTCAGGCTGGGCTTAGCTGGATATTCTTTTGCCCATCTCAAGCAGCTGTTTTCTGACATGCTTTAAGATGACCTTACTCACACGTTTGGTGGTTCTGGCTGTTTGCAGGACTACAAGTCTCTGGTAGGCTTTGCAGGTTTGTTTACATGGTGGCAGCCTTCTAAAAGTAGCAAGAAAGAGTTCCCAGCACCAAGAGGGCAAGATCCAGTGCAGGAGCAATTCTTAAACTTCTGTTTGTGTCATGTTGGCTAATACCTCTTTGGCCAAAGTAAGTCCCATGGCCAAGTTCACAGTCTGTGAGGAAGAGGGCCATGTAGGGTCATGGATACAGCGAGGTGTAATACACTAGGAGTCACTGCTGTAGCCTGTATCACAGTTTGCACATGAATTTATAGGTTGGTGCAAAAGTAATTGTGGTTTTTGCCATTACTTCCAGTGGCAAAAACTGCAATTACTTTTGCACCAACCGTGTGTGTGTGTGTGTGTGTGTGTGTGTGTGTGTGTGTGTGTGTGTATGGTTGGCATTTAATATTTGGCTTTGATCAACATAGTATGAGGATTTACTTTATATATAAGTAACAAAGAGTAGTGTGAACAGGAGGGAATTAATCTACATTGAGAACTTATGATATGCCAAGAACTTTACATATGTTATCTCATTTAATTTTGTAAACTCAGAGTGAAAAAAACTGAGATACAAGGAAGGTAAATAACTTGTCCAAGGTCACAGTTAGCACTTTACACTCCAGTCTATGGGACTCAACAAGCATTAAAAAAATCAAAAAAGAACAGAATAAAAAATATCAGTAATGCATATATTAATAATAGGTACTTTTTCATAAACTGTATTTGCTTTTTTGTGTTGGCTCACAATGCATAATAGAATTCTTGCCATGAATTGTTTGTTTTTGTTTTTAAACTGGAAAGCCACTGTTACCCCATATAGACTCCCATAAGCATGTGAAACCAGAATGGTCAGAACCAGAGGGGATTAAAAGTATATCATGGCTGAATGGGGTGGCTCACACCTGTAATCCCAGCACTTTGGGAGGCCTAGGCGGGTGGGTCACTTGAGGTCAGGAGTTTGAGGCCAGCCTGGCCAACATGGTGAAACCCCGTCTCTACTAAAAGTACAAAAATTAGTCAGGTGCAGTGGTACACGTCTGTAGTCCCAGCTATTCGGGAGGCTGAGGCATGAGAATCGCTTAAACCCGGGATGTGGAGGTTTCAGTGAGCTGAGATGACGTCACTGCACTCCAGCCTGGGCGACAGAGTGAGACTCCGTAACAACAACAACAACAACAACAACAACAACAACAACAACAACAGCATATCATTAGTTTCCCAATCCTGATTTAGCTGAAAGGTGTACCATGACTACTATATTACATTGAGATAGTGTTTTCATCAGATGAACACCTGACTCTTTCCACTGCAGTTAATCTCCTTTTATCAGTATCTGCTAACATTTCTTTGTGACTTACAGAAAATCATTATCATAGGGAGAGATTTGAATTCTGGGTGGAATAAATTAGAACATCAATTTCCCCTATTGATAGACCCTTGTAGGAACCAATAACTAGTACAAGAGACACTTAAACAATTTGGATGTAATGCCTTGTGTTTGAACCAAAGCATTTATTACTCAAATATTTAGTCCAAAGAGGTAAAGGAAAAGTATTATTTTGTAATCTGTTTTTTTTTGTTAATCTCATTTGTCTTCAGTCATGCAAAATGGAACGTTTGTTTTAAAATCAGCCCACATACCGAAATGTCTTTTATTTGCAAAATGAAACCATGCCATTAAATGTTGAAGGAGAAAGATTCTTTTAAAGAAATATCAATGAAATGGGAGCATTTCCAATAGAAATTTGAGCTGAAATAAGTTCCTGTGTGATGGCTTTATTTGCAACTTCTCTCTTTGAGATTTTTTTTTGTACTTACCTAACATGCATAAAGATTGCATATTAATAAACTAGGAATCATTTGATAGAAAACAATGGGAGGGAAATGTCCATAAGTTCCTACATATCTCTACATGCAAAGAGGTCAAACGGTTGCTTGAAATTCTCAAGAATGTTTTATAGATTGAATAGAGATTTTTTTTAAAGCCGTTATCTTCTGTGCTCACCAAGTAAAGTGTGGGCTAGAAAGTTATTTTAAAGTCATTTTATTGCAAGAAAAACAGCAGGATCCTGCCAAAGCCCAAAAGCCAGTAAAATTGCAATGAAACATTGAAAATTACAAGGTCAAAGCTTTATATTCATATGAAAGTAATATTTGAACCAAAAAAGGTGATATACTTTTAAAAAAATTTGGCCTATTCCAAAGAAACACTGAAAAACAAAATAGCTGGGTTATTTATCATTGTATATTTTGATTGTTACCCCAAATTTAAGAAATTATTAGTGAAGAGCATAACTTTTTACATATTAATTATGATAGTTATTCATTTAAAAAGTGCTTGCAAAAAATAATTGTGGATGATTATTTCTTACTGATTTTATTTTCAAATGTTTGTGTATGGAACATTGTTTTGGAAGGAAAGATTTAGCAGCATCACTCAGCTTATAATTAGTGTCAGATATGTTAATAAAAACTAATCAAGATGTTGGTAAGCAAATGCTAGAAACTGAAAATGAAGGTGATTAAAAGAAAGTAATTTCTGAAACAAGCTAGGATTAACTGAGGATGGAATCCCAACAGGATTTCTGCTTTTGTTCATTGGCCTTGCCCGTCACTGCTAACATAATATGTCATGCTGAAAGAACAAACCTTCACTGAGGGGTCCAGAGGACATACTTCAAGTTGAAAGTTCTATGTTTGTTGGTTCAACAATGCTGAGTTAATTACATTTTATAATTCTGCTATACTTGAATTCTAAATTGCAGTCCCACGTCTTGTCTTAAATTGTTATTATTATTTTTTTGGTCACACATTTTATTGGGAAAGAATCAAAGTCTGAATGAATGATATTTATTCTAGTGGGCTCTGAGATGTAATACACCAGGAAAGAAAAATTACTGATTAAAGTGAAGAAAATGACTATGAAGTTATTCTGTTCAGTTGTCTTAACAAAGATGAATGTGTTTTAATTAATTTTTTTGTGTAAATGTAAATTGTTAATGTTAAAATGATAGAGGTTAAAAAAATCAACTGATTACAGAAATTTTTGAAAATACAGAAAAATATAAAGAAGAAATAAAAATCATCTACAGTTAATGTACTTAGAAGTACTCATGATTAAGTTTTTGATATAAAGTATTTTTCTTTTCCTTTTGCATTCTCTTTTAAATGATAGTATAACTGGATATAGGATTAGAATTTGACTATTATTTTCCATCAGCACTTTGAAGACATTACTTTGTTGTCCTATGGCATCTATTATTGCTGATGTCTTTATGATTTTTTTCCTTCCATTACTGCTTTTAAGATCTCCTTGTATTTGAAGTTCTGCACTTCACTACAGTACATCTAAATGTGGATTTCTTTTCATTTGTCTTCCTTAGAACTTCGTGGTATTCCTAAATTTTAGAATCAATATCTTTCAGACTATTGGAAAATTCTCAACCATTATCTCTTTAACTATTACCTCTCACTTCTGTAACATCCTTTCTGGAATTTCAATGAGACATAAATTGAACCATCTCATCCTATTCTCAGTTTCTCTTAATCATTCTGTCTTATCCTTCACCTTTCTATTTCTCTGTGCATATTGATGTTATCCACAGGTGTTTTCCAGTTCACTAATTCTCTTTTCAGAACTCCAAACTGAACTTCTGCTGTTTAACCTACCAATTAGATTTTAAATTTAAGGCTATATTTTTTTATTTCCATAAGTTTTATTTTATTCTTTTTTAAGTCATATTTTCTCCCTTCTATACAGTTATGGGCTAAAGGGCTAAATCATGTCCCCATCTCCCAAATTCTTTCGTTGAAGCCCCAGCCCCCAGTATCTCAGAATGTGATTATATTTGGCTACAGGGTCTTTAAAGAGATGATTAAGGTAAAATGAGGTCATATGGATAGGCCCCAATCCAATATGACTTGTGTCTTTATAAGAAGAGTTAAGGCACCAGACACAAGCACACATAGAGAGAAGACAGTGTGGAACACACACCAAGAAGGTGGCCATCTGCCAGTCAAGGAGAGAGCCTCAGAAGAAACCACACCTGCCAACACCTTGATCTCAGACTTCTAGTCTCCAGAACTGTGAGAAAATAAATTTCTGTTGGTTTAGTTACCCAGTACATGGGATATTTCTTATGGCACACTCACCAAGTCATGCACATGCTAGAGTGATTTTTTAATGTGACTTTTATCATTTTTTGATGTCTTTAATTCTGTTTAACATATTTTAATCTATTTTCTAGCTTTTTATTTCTGTTATCTTGTCCCTATGATACTCACATTGTCTTGTTTAGAATGTACATTTTACTGTGAATTAACCTCTCAATGAAGCTTTTAGTTAGTTTTTTTTTTTTCCCTTGGGAGTCTTATGTGCCCTGAGTCAGTTGAAAACATATTAATCTAATGGACAAAAAATTGAGTATTATTTTAATTTGTGTTATTTTAGGTACTAATGAGTTAGAACTTTTTCATGTGCTTGTTAGCATATGCATTTCTTCTTTCGTAAAGTTAGGAGCAGTGTTCATATTTATCCCTATAAAATAAAAACATGTACATTAATCATGGACTACATTTTGTTCTGATGATTCAGTGTTATTGATTTCTGAGCTCTGTAATATCTGCAAGTTATAAGTCTTTCTTGGCTTCCTCCAGGAAGTTGAAAATTAATATTTATTTCTATATTTGTCAGGAAAACACATGAATGTTTGAAGATGGGGTGGGATCTTGTTTTTAACTCTATATAATATCTGCAGTTAATCATGGCAAACCACCAGTTTCAATTTGTCAGGGTATTGTTATCATATTCTAATTTTGTATCAACTAAAATAATATATTTCTTTTTGGTTGAAATGCCTTTAGAATCTTAGAACAAGCCTTAGGAAAGACATTACTACCTATGGAAAACATGAAAATTTGAAATATTGTAATAGAAAGGTTTCATTTAAATATCTTTTTATAATAGAGTAAAATAAGATACTGTGTGGTAATAAGCCTTCACAGAATTGGGCACGTTGGATTCACCTATATATTAAAAAATGTGTGTATGTATTAGATGCCTGGCAGCATCTAGTAAAATGAGATCTACATGTGTGAATTTGTGTTATTTAACCCTTGGCTTAAAAGTACCACTCACAGAAGTAGAAGTGTGAGTGTTAAGGTTTTGCTTATGTCCATATATATCACACACATTTTTCATATTTTAATGACCAAAAATTTGGCAGTGTTACAATTAAATTACATTCATATGGTAGTGCTTTATTTCTTCTCCTTCAGGAAAGCTGTTATTAAATTGCAGCAAATTAGAATGAAAGTATGTAGTCTTGAGAACATATGGACTGTAATGCATTGGAAAATTCTACAAAGAACAGCATGAAGTATTTCAATGGTTAGCAATGGGAATTGCATGGTGATAGGTTGGGGTGTGTCAGTAAGAGTTTTGTGGGTACAATGTATATTATTTGGGTGATGGATACCCTAAAAGCCTCTGATTTCACCACGCTGCACTGTATCCATGGAACAAAATTAATGTTTACCCCATAAATTTATACAAATATTAAAAAACAAAATGAAATAAATATGAGGCTGCTCTGAATGATCGTTGGTATTTTGCAAAACGTTTACAAGTATGTATTTAAGTGTTTGCTAAACATAATACGTAAATAAGAAACCACTGCTTTTTAATTATAAGCACCTTTTCCTTATGAGTTTCTAAGTTGTAGATAGGAAATAGCTGTCACCTCAGAACACAACTACAGTTGATAGGTAGTGACTAAGTGGGGCAATGTTTTCAAAAGGATTCAAAAACCCTCCCTATACTCAGTGAGAAACTATCATTTTTCAATAAGTTATGTTTACTGTGGGCAAGGGAAAAGGGAGCGGTGGTACCAGTATGAGGCATTTACTGACTCTTCTCCAAGTGCTAATAAGATAGCACATGTCATGTTCAATTTTTTATTGGTCCTGATGAAATATTTAAAAAGTAGGTTTACAAATAGATAAAACTTTATGCCTTCCAACTTTATATTTCTGGGACAGGTTTTCAGAATCTGTTCCTCTTGGGCGTATGTTTATATTATTCATTGCTTTCTAGTCACTGTGCTTGATTCAGACCTCCCTGGAATGGGAAGTAGGCTGACAGGTAGTTTTGCAGTTATGCTTTCCTGATGACTCATTTGTATTTGAAATTTAGTTTTGGTTTCATAAATATAAGACCTAGAATCTCTCTACTGCTACATTTTTTTTTAAACGGCAATCTTATTCTACATTCTATAATTTGTTCTACCCGTGGCTGGTTTCTCTCTTTTTTCAAAGAATGGTTGATATCTGTGAAAGCAGAGTAACATTTGGATATTAGAAATTTCAATTGCAAGATTCCAATCAGAGATCGATGACCTCTTTTAATTCAAATGTATTTATTTTTCTGGACAATTGTTTTCTCTGTTAGGGGATGCTGTACTTAGCTGTTTAAGCCTTATGAGAATGTCATAGCTCTTGTTAGGAATCCTAGATCCATAAAATCTGTTCCTCTGTTCCTCCAGATAATTATTATTAATTATTGTTATTATTTTAATTTATGCCTAAAATTTTAGCCTCAAACAATAATCTGGAGTAATTGATCTTCATTTAAGAACTTAGATCTTAAAATCTGTCTTATCTTGTGGATCAGTGGCATTTTCTGACTCTGAAACAAATGTTTATTTCTGTGTTATTTCTGCATACCTTCCATACAATGCCTTTGAATAAGACAGTGACTGTATTATCTACTAGCTCTCAGATGGCATTTTAGACTATATTTCTAAAATGGGAAACATGCCCTTTGGTAAGATTTAAGCTAGTACATAAATCAAGGCCAGCATTTCCTAATATGGAAGCTGATCTGCCTTAGGAAATATTAATTATAAGAAAATTGATTTAAAAAACTCTTAAAGATAGTTCTTGAAGTAGAGGATATTAGAGCAATGGATCATCATCCTTTAGTCTAGAACTCTGTCATTCCTGGCAGCTGTTAACCATCTGCCTGCTTTCAACCCACGTGAAAAATGTAGATGAGCACAGGAATTGAGGGTCAAATGAATCTGAGGTCTTTTTTCTTGCAGTTTAAAAACTTAGACTTTACACTATTTTATTATCCAAAAATGACTTTAAGGTAACTCCAGATTTCCTTTTAAGATACTATCATGGGACATTTCACTATCCTTTGAAGTTTTAGAAAAAAGATGGAATTGAGCACTACTGGCTTTTAATCTAAAAGGAGAGGGCATTTATAAAGTGATCTTGTATTTTAATGTTTTCATACCTCACACCGTAAAAGATTTTTTATATAACTTATGATATCATGGTCCATTCCTCTGAAATATATACATTTAATAGGATTTGTGTGCCTCTTTAATTCTTTAACATTAATTAGGATTTAGTGTGCTGGATCTTTCATCCAAAGATCTCAAAGCATCTTGCCTGTCTATATTAGCTCATTATTTTTTCAGTATGTCCCTGTGAGGTAGCTGTTAAGTATTATTCCTTATTTTACAAATGAGGTACAGATGAAGCTGAGAGAGGCATAAGAGACCTGCCCAAAGTCCCCGAGCATGTTAATATTAGAAAAGCAATAAAGGCACAGTTCTCTGATTTGAGAGATTTTCAACCTTTCCTTGGAATATATCCCTAATTCCATTCTAAAATGCTACATTGTCCATGGAAATTAGCATATTATTATACGCTGGTGCTTTAGGGAATTAAAGTGGACTTAAGAATTTAATAAAATATCACTGTGTCTCTACTATACTTTGATTAGGTTTTCAGGGAAATATGTGTGATCAGTGTCCTGTCACACAAAGCTAGGTATTTCCGTTTGCCCTGTCATATGGGGAGCACTGAAAGAGGGCCTCAGAAATAGTAGCCAGAGAATATGGTGACTGCAAGTGTGGGTGACACTAGCGATGATTTTCTTACTGGTGGAGAACCTTGCAAGCTCAGAGGTTTCTCTTTTAATGATCAAGTCATGCATCCTTTAAATTCCTCCAATTATAAAGTCGTCGGAATGTTAGTATTATTAGGGGCCTTAGGATTTTCTGAGAAAAACTTCCACACAATATAGGATTTTGTTTCAAAATATCCTTGACAAATCGTCACATAGTCTCCATTTGAGCACCTCGGGAGATAAGAAATTGTCCAAGAAATTTTGTTCCACTGGATAATAATTGTAATAACCAATCCACAAATATTTATTGTTATCTATCTATCTATCTATCTATCTATCTATCTATCTAATCTATCTCTGTCTATCTATCTGTCCAAAATGAAAGAAATATAAGATATTGTCCCTGACCTCCTCAAGGACCTCGGCCAAGTAACTTGATTTCAATCTGTTTCCTAATGTATATAATGAGGAACTGGCTTGTTTTGAGGATTAAAGGAATCAAATATAAAGCACTTAGGAAAGAGACTGCTACATAATATATGCTCAGTAAATATTAGTTCTAATTATTATCTACGGACAAAATGAGAGAGAGAGAGAGAGCAAGAGTGAGAGCAAGAGAGAGATTGCTTATTACATCTTATTTTGTTTTCCATACTATCATCTTAAATGAGACCGTCATCCATTCTCATTTGAATGACGGCAGCAGCCTCCAAACTGCTCTCTCCGTTTCCAGTCTCAGCCTTTGTGACCCATTTTCCACACTGAAGCCAAACTGAACTTAATGCAAGTTTGGGAGGCCTAGGCGGACGGGTTGCTTGAGCCCAGGAGTTTGAGACCAGCCTGGGCAACATGGTGAAACCCCATCTCTACCAAAAAATATACAAAAATTAGCTGGGAGTGGTGGCACATGCCTGTAGTCCCAGCTACTCAGGAGGCTGAGGTGGGAGGATCACTTGAGCCTGGGAGGTGGAGGTTGCAGTGAGGTAAGATCGCACCACTGCACTCCAGTACACTCCAGTCTGGGTGAATGAGTAAGATCCTGTCTCCAAAAAAAAAAGGCAAGTCTGAGCATAATAACCACTGTCTTAAAATTCATTGCTCTCCATGTACTTCCGAATTAGTTTATTTTAATTTTAACTTAATTTAATTAATTTGTTTAATTTAGAGATGAGGTCTCACTGTATTGCCCAGGTTAGAATGCAGTGGTGTGTTTCTAACTGCAGCCTCCATTTCCCAGGCTCAAGTGATCTCCCACCTCAGCCTCCCAAGTAGCTGGGACTACAGGTGCATGCCATCCTGCCTGGCTAATTTCTTTTTTGTTTTTTAAACTTTTTGTAGACACGGGTCTCACCATGTTGCCCAGGCTGGTTTCGAACTCCTGGGTTCAAGCAATCCTTCCATCTCAGCCTCTCAAAGTGTTGGGATTATAGGCATAAGCCACCATGCCCAACCTGACTGCTTCTTCAGGCTTGTTTATACCACATATGTCCTCTGACTTTGTGTCCAAATTCTGAAATAGACAGTGTTCCAGCTCTCCATGCTCTCTCAGGTATGCATGTGTCCAGGTCTGGCCCAGGCCCCCAGCTTCACTTCCTGCTTGAGCTGTGGCACAAGTTGCATTATTGGACCCCATTTTGCTTCCTTTCCTCAGGCTATGTTCGACTCATCATTCAAGGTTTGGTTTATATGCCAACTCCAAGAAGTCTTCCCTGATCCCTTAGGTGTAATAACCTTTATGTCCTTGTTCATCTTTAAACCCAAGAGGCTTGAGGTTAAAGACTACATCTTGTTCACTGGTATTTCCCCAGAGTCCAAATCTTGGCACAAGGAAGATACTCACTAAATATATATTGAATGAATAACAATACACAGCAGTGTGGAACAAATGTTCAGTAGTTCAGACAAAAAGTGCAAGAAAAGCTACAGAAAGTAGACACTGCCTTGATTATGTAGGCAGAGAAAAGGTCACATAAATGTGATACTTTAGCTAAAGTCTTTTGCTTGGTCTTTCTGGAATAAAGACATTCAAGTAAACCTCTAGGGCATCAGTTAGACAAACTGTAGTCTTTGTGCCAGAATGCAATCCCAACTGAGCTACTTCCTGGCTATAAAATATTGTACATCTGTAAAATGGATGTTATAGTAACACCTACTTTACAGATGTGTTGAGAGAATTTTATAGTATGAAATGTGAAACACCTGGCACAGTGCCTGGCACATAATGGATGCTCAACAACGGGTGTTTGTTACACTTATCATTATCACTTGTACTATATGCCTCAGCTCAATTCAAGGGATCCTTAACTCTTTCAAGGGACAGATTACATAGATGTAAGCATTTCCTAAGCCTAATGATTGAGCACACATATATCCCTGGTGCACTAGACTCTTGTGTTAGGGTTTGGGATTGAGAGGAGAGACTTGGAGAAGATGGAGGGGGGTGGAAGATATGAGGAGAAAATGGGAGGGAGGTGAAAAAAACATCACTATGTATCTATCTCAGGCAGGCAGCAGATATAGAATTGTTTATATTAAATTAAAAACCACCTATAATTCAGACTTTTTGTCTCTTTTTTCTATTTTTTTGAGACAGGGTCTCACTCTTTTGCCCAGGCTGGAGTGCAGTGGTACAATCTTGGCTCACTGCAGCTTCAACCTCCAGGGCTCAAGTGATTCTCCCAACTCAGCCTGTTCAGTAGATGGGACTACAGGCATGTGCCACCCTACTCACCTAATTTTTGTATTTTTTGTAGAGACAAGGTTTTGCCATGTCGTACAGGCTGGTCTTGAACTCCTGGGCTCAAGTGTTCCACCCACCTCAGCCTCCCATAGTGCTGGGATTATGGGTGTGAGCAACTGTGTCTGGACAAGATTTTTATTTTCTTTCAAAGCTCATGAGAATGTTTTCATGAGAATGGAGATGTTAATGTAGAATATTTTGATGTTCTTAATCCTGCTAAGTCAGGGACCAACCTGAGTCCATGGAAGGCCTATAAATGTCTTCTGGTTCAGGTCAGCAATGCCAAATTTCATACTTGCAACTTGTCTGTTTTTGAGGAAAGGGACCATCGTATTAAAAGTTTCCATGCTCTTTCCAGAGGTAAAGAAACATTGTTATTTTTGTGCTTTCTCCAGTCAGAACTAAGGCAGTAAGCTACATCTCTGAGGAATGGAGGCATGTTTATTAATAATAGACCCCTTAAAATATTTGGTGACTATAGAATATCATGATTCAACAAGAAAAGTCTTTATCTTATATTCCTATCTCTCATTATAATAAAAAAGAGTTTCCTAAGTGATTTTAAGCCTAGCATTTGATGATGGCCAAAATTTTTTTCCCATGGAATAACTTTTGTGCAATCTTTAAGCTTTGTTATTTTGGAGGATCAGAGATTGGAAAGCAAAACAAACATGCAAATAAACAACATCAACAAAACAGTAGTAAAATCCAGGATTTTGTTTATTAGCAATAGTTACATGGTCCAAACATTTCATATAGTTTTTTCTTTTTTATCTAGTAGTGTATTTTATAGCTACTATTCCTTTTCAATTAATTGAAAGAAAGGTTTATAATTATCCTTTTCTCATAGTGAATATATATGCTCAAGAGAAATCATGTTTTGCATTTATTTATTTAACATATTATGTTTGATGGAAAATGGTCTTCGTTGGACTGGGAAGAGGAATTGGGATGGGAGATGAAGGAGGAAGTGAACTTTTGATGAGTGCCTATTGTGTGCTAGAAGCACTACCTGTGATAATGAGAATATCATGTGTTATCTCATCCAATCCAACAGCAATCTTATATGTTAGAAGCATTATCTTTATTATAGGTGAGAAAATTGAAGCTTCAGAAATTAAGGAATTCGGTTGGGTGTGGTGGCTCATGCTTGTAATCCCAGCACTTTGGGAGGCTGAGGCGGGTGGATCACGAGGTCAGGAGATCGAGATCATGCTGGCAAATATGATGAAACCCCATCTCTACTAAAATACAATTAGTCGGGTGTGGTGGTGCATGCCTGTAGTCCCAGTTACTCAGGAGGCTGAGGGAGGGGAATTGCTTGGACCCGGGAGGCGGAGCTTGCAGTGAGCCGAGATTGCACCACTGCACTCCAGCAAGGCTCTGTCTTAAAAAAAAAAAAAAAGGAAATTAAGGGATTTGCTGAAGACCGCAGAGCTTGCAAAACTGGCCTTTAAACTTTGACTCTGAAGCCTGTGGTTTTTTTCCCTCTGACTAGATACCTTTTGTAAAACCTGGTATCTCCTAAAGGTGATTGATTTTAGATGCCTTAGTGTTTACACAGGGATTGACATTGTTGTTACCAGATAGATTGGAACTCTCTCTCCATACTCTTTGAAGCACTGTAAAGAAGCCATCGCTAGTGATTACTTGTCTTCTTGTTTTTTAAAATTTTTAAGTCAATAGTTTTTGGGGAACAGGTGGTGTTTGGTTGCATGGAAAAGTTCTTAGTGGTGATTTCTGAGATTTTAGTGTACTCATCACCTGAGCAATATACACTGTACCCAATATGTAGTCTTTCATCTCTCACCTCCCTCCCATTAGATAATGCTAGCTAGTGATCTGGACTTTGTATGATCTGTGGAATACTGAATGCTCAGATATCACAGGCTACAAGAAAACAGACTAATAATCCCCACATTACCAAAACAATAACAGTAATATGATAAATTTCCAGATTATAAAATTAACAACTGATGTGATTTTAATGAATCATCTCTGAAAACTCCTTGTTCTGGAGTTTTGTCTCCAAATAAACTCATATATTCTCTGGACAACTTTCACAATTACTGTAGAAGTCACAAGAAAGCTTGTAGAACTTTGTCTCATTCCCCTGGATTTTAACTAGGGTTATGTATGAGCCTGTCTTAATGTGTTGCAGAATTTAACCTGAAACAAATATAGGTAATGTTAAAAAAAAATGACAACAGAAATCTTTTACTGTTTCATGCTGATTGTAAAAGTAATACAAGCTTATTGAAGAAAAAATATAGAACAAGTAAAACATTTAGAAAAAATGAAAGTTATTCATGATTCTATTATCCAAGTAAACACTATTAATGTTTTAGCGCATTTTCTTACAGTGATTTTGGTATATATTATGCTTTCTAAAGTTGAGATTGTTTCCTAGATACAGTTTTATTTCATTTTCACTTAAAAGTTAATGAATCCATTTTCACTGAAACGTATCATTAAAATTTTAAAGAAACATTATTGGCTGGGGCCAGTGGCTCACACCTGTAATCCCAGCCCTTTGGGAGGCCGAGGTGGGCAGATCACAAGGTCAGGAGATCAAGACCACCCTGGATAACACGGTGAAACCCTGTCTCTACTAAAAATACAAAAAATTAGCTGGGCGTGGTGGCGGGCGCCTGTAGTCCCAGCTACTTGGGAGGCTGAGGCAGGAGAATGGCGTGAACCTGGGAGGAGGAGCTTGCAGTGAGCTGAGATCACGCCACTGCACTCCAGCCTGGGCCACAGAGCAAGACTCCATCTCAATAAATAAATAAATAAATAAATAAATAAATTTAGGGAATGTCTGTGGGATTTTCTCCCAGCATGATCCTTTCTTCTGTTGTCTACTATGGTTACTATAGGAGCAGCCATCATCTTGTATAACCATATCCCAGTGGCAGTCTTTAGTCGGATCAGAGATGGGCACTTGACTCAAAATGAGCTTAGTGGAGCACTACCTTAGGAAAAAAATTTTAACTTGGAACCTCCCTGGTAGCTGAAGCAGTGGGAACTTTCACTGGGCATATTTGTTGGTGTCAGTAAGAGGAAATTAAGTTGACAATATAGAGAGCAGATACAAGAGTCAGAAAAATTATCCAGACAGTGCCTGTGATTCCAGTTGTTCTGGCGGCTCAGTCTTAAGCCAGTAGATTCTTTTTGTTGACGCTAGTTTGAGTTGGATTTCTGTGGCATTTTACAAAATGTTCTAATACATTTGCTTTAGAAGGGTAAAGATTAAAAATCTGAGGCCCTGAGAGATTGGGTAAGCTGGAAAGTGGTAGAACTAACATAGAACCCAGATATATTTGACTCCAAAACCTGCATATGCAACCATTAAGATTCATAGTCTTGAAGCAGAGTATTTCTGGAACTTCTCTCTCCATGTGGTTCTCTCCAACAGAAATAGCAGCAAGAACAGGTGAAATGATGCATAGGTACCTGCTTGTTTTAGTTTTGTTTCCATTTTTCTTCTTATTTTTTTGGTATAAGGACAGGGGACTTAATAAGAAACAATAAGGAGATCTTCCTTTTTTTCTACTTGAATATCTCCACTTCTATTTTCAATATATACCCTGTCCATCAAGTTCAGACTACATATTTAACTGGGACTAGTTATCAATTTCTTTGCTAAAGATGACTGGTTTCTTTCTGCTTCTTCCTTTGCATCCTCCAATTCTATTCCCCTTAAGTTCTAAAAATAAGAACACCTTATGTAGAACACCATATATAGAATCTGTAATTTCTTATTTTCATTATCATCATTACCATTGTCACTGGCATTGTATTTACTGAGTGCTTGCATGGGCCTCGCATGAATTAGGCAAATCAATATTATCTCATCTAAGTTTTACTATAAAGCCCTGTAGGCCCACCTCCTCTTTGCCTCCTACTACCATTCTTATTATTGATATGCCATTGTTGTTATGGTTCTCTCCATTTTGTATATGAGGAAACTGAGCCTCAGAGAGCTTTTCTGACCTTTCCCAAGATCACATACCTAGTAAGTGTTGGTGCCCAGATTTGAATCCAGTTCAATCTCCTTTTAAAGTTCATGCATGCACTCATGCTAATATTACCACTTATGCCAGATTCTGTGATAGAGCTGGTTCTCACAACTGCATAGGGAGAGGGAGATAAACAGATAGTGTTCTTACTAGTCTAGTAGAGTGTCTGGCTGCTAGGCTATAAGTCCAAATCAGTGTTTAAAGCGCTATGGAATCAACTAGGGAAGGTAAAATCTATAGCAAAAATCCCTCACAACTGGTGCAATACCTAGATTATTTTGTAGATAGGATAGTGGTTCTGCCTGCAAGCACAGGACTTAAATTACTGCTTGGGAATTCCAGAAACAAAATCATCCAGACATTGGTAGAGGGAAAGGCAAGGACTGGAAATGTTGTCAGGGCTCCAGCCAAGAATATAACTTTCTTTTAATTAGTGTTAGCATAGTATATCTTTATCTATCCATTTACTTTTAATCTATATGTCTTTATATTTAAAGTGGGTTTCTTGTAGACAACATATATTTGAGTCCTGGTTTTGGATACACCCTGATAATCTTTCTTTTAATTGGTGTTTCTAGACCATTGATATTAAAGTGACTACTGTTATAGTTAGGTTAATGTCTACCATATTTGTTACTGTTTTCTATTTATTCATTTTGGACATATCACATTTTATTTAAGAAATCAATTCCAGATGAAGTGTAAGTCTAAACTTGTAAAATAATACAACTGGAAAATTAAAACATAGGAAATTATTTTCATGATTTTGAGTAGACAGTTATTTCTTCACCAGAACTCCAACAGCACTAATAATGAAAGAAAATATTTGATAAATCGGACTACATTATGACTTGAAACTTCCCTTCATCAAGGGACATCATTAACTGAGTGAAACAGCAAGCCAGGAAGTAAGAGAAGATATTTGCAGTATATGTATCTAACAACTCAAATTTAGAATCAAACAAATCAGTAAGAAAAAAGATAGACATAGAAATATGGTCAAGAGACTTAGCAGGCACTTCACAAGAGAATATTCAAATACCCAAACACATGAAAACACATCTTAATTGATCATCAAGGAAATACAGATTATAACCACAATACAGTACTACAATTCACTCACTAGGAAGGCTAAAATGAAAAAGACAATCTCAAATGTTGACAAGGATAAGGAAACCCTCATACACTGCTATTCGGAATGTAAATTGGTACATTTTGAAAAACACTTTGGCAGTTTATAAAGAAGGTGAACATATATCAATATTCCAGTCATTCCGCTCCTAGAATGCTAGAATGCTGCTGTATGTTATTTTTCTTGATCTGGATGATAATTACAAGGATGTTCACTTAGTAAGAATTCACTGAGTTTTACACTAAATACTCCTGTTTGTGTGTCATGCTTCCAAAAAGGTTTCTTTTAAAATGCATATAAATAGAAAAACTTTCTTGTGACCATGAGGCTAAGTGCTATGTTTCTTCTGACTGAGCTATTACAGTTATTAAATGCTTTTGATCAAACCAGAAAAATGTTATACATTTAAATAATTATGAGGAAAAATTAAAATGTATTAAAAATCCCACTTCTAATGATGCAGATGGTTTTTGTTTGTTTGAGACAGAGTCTGGCTGTGTTGCCCGGGCTGGAGTGCAGTGTTACAGTCTTAGCTCACTCACTCTGCCTCCTGGGCGGAAGTGTTTCCTACCACCTCAGCCTCCCAAGTAGGTGGGACTACAGGCACACGCCACCACAGCCAGCTAGTATTTTTGTTATTTGTTTTTCTTTTTTTGTAGAGACGGGGTTTCACCATGTTGCCCAACCTTGTGTCAAACTCCTGAGCTCAAGCAGTCCACTCGCCTCAGCCTCCCAAAGTGCTGGGATTACAGATGTGAGCCACCGTGCCCGGCTGGATATAGATGGATTTTTGAAATTAGTTCATACCATGAATTAATATTAGTTATTTCCAGAATAAAGCTTGGCTCACCACCAATTAAATCTCTATTTCTTATTTTCAGAGATGGTATGTTAATGGGAATGAAAGGAATTTTCTTATAATAAGGTCATTCAAAATTTTAAATTTCCTTTAGAGTTATATGGCACAAATTAAATCCTGAACTATCATCAATTTTGCCCAATGATCAGCTGACTAATTGATGAAGTCCTTCTTCAGTTCTGTTGAAAGGAAAACACAGGAAATCATTTGCTATGCAGGATTTCCTTCCCAGCCTTTCCTCCTTTCCTGGGCTAGGATATTTTGAAAGCCCCTTTGGCTCCTGGGAGGTGGTAAACTCTGGGGCAATGTACCCGGGTAAGTTCAGGGAAGGAGAAAGTGGTGGAAGAGGTTAGTGAAAGGAAGGCAGGAGAGAACCTCCCTCGAGGTTTCTCTTGGATAGGTCTGGGGAAGAAGTATGTATGGAACTGAGGATTTGAAAATAGATTCCTTTAGAATTCTTCATGCCCACTATTCCCGGGGCAGTCTTTGTGTACTCCCAGAGGCAAGTGACCCTTGTTTGAATACAGCTGACTAAGGACTTCTCAGGACTTGCTCCTCAGACTGCATCTCCAGAGGCCTCTCTGGGTCTTAAACACCTGTGCAGCTGCTGACTTGTAGGGGCTGAGGAGCTGCAGGCCCCAGAGGTGAGGACTCTCTGAAACCACTAGAGGGAGCCCCAACTTTCTCAGAGGACTTTGGACAGGCCTGGGCAACTGGGCTGAGTCTTACTCAGCACACTGTCAACTGTACCTCCGGGACACTGGATGGATCTAGCCCTTGCCCACCTCCAGAATGAAGCAAGGGCTAAGAGTGTTCAGAGAAAATTGAATCTCCCTGGAGAGAAGTAGGTCCCTGCACTTCCCTGCTACATCATTTCAGGCTTCTCTGTGACCTCTTCCCGGGTCGGTTTTCAGTGGGGACAGCGTGCAAGGTGGGCTGAGTTGCAGAGGGCCAACAGGTAGCAAAGTGGAGGAGACACAGCACTAGAAAAGAGAAAAACCAGTTTGCAGAGATGATTCCTGGGTGTTGAGGTCAGTTCCACCCTTAGAGGTCACCAGATCCCAGAGGTCCTCACTATGTATCCAGCTTTGAAGTTGTGGTGACTGATGTGCAAGGGCCCAGAAAAGCAGATGGAAGAAGTGCTAGTTCATGAGTTCCTGCTCATGGAGACCCAGAGGTCTTCGACTCCTCGAAGGCTTCTGGCAGTCCCGGAGACATCAGGAAAATTAGGAAGACAGGCATTGGAAGCTTCTACATTGAGGGAACATATGGAGATTTTGTACCACTCTTAATTATTGGTGCAGATTTGCCAATTGGATGAAAATAAGGTACATATTAAGTTCACATTTAACCCTAAAATGGTCAGGCCCATCTATTCAGAGAGTGTATATAGATACCTAGCTCTGGGCCAGCCTTTGGTAGAATTACTAGGCTTCTAAGGCAACCCCTCCCCTCTGGAGAAAGTACAGGAGAGGTGCTCTAAGATAGTAGTTCTCCAAGTGGGGTTGCTGGAACATCAGCATACCTGAGAACTTGTTAGAAATGCCAGTTTTCTGGCCCTACTCCAGACCAATTGAAGTAGCAACTGTGGTATAGGGACCCACTGATAGGTGTTTAATCAAATTCTGGATTCCAGAAGCTGTTCTAAGAGGACACTATGAAGTGAGTTTGTGGGGGCTACACGGAGGAAACAGGGTGTGATGCCAAAGAAAGGATTTGGACAGGTCAGGAGGCAATATTAGGGGCTAAAAACAAAGCATAATTGAAGACAAATTCACAGCCTGGTTCAGCATCTAGTATATGTGAGCTGGAACAGAGGAGAGAGAGTGGCTATCATCCAGGGCAAGGCGAAGTAAGGCCTTGAGGCTGAAGGAGGGAGTGGGACTTCAAGGGTATGGGAACTGGGAGCTGTTGCAGCTTTACGAGTGGAAGAGTGACATTGTGACCATTGTATTTGAGAAAAATTACTGAATATTTGGCACAGAAATCTCAAGCTGGGATGTTTTGAGGATTCTGCCTTTCCAGGGGAATTTCCCAGTGTCCATCCTTTCCTGTGACTCTCCTGCTTCAGAATGGGTAGAGGAGGGGCAATCAGACTGTATACAGGGACAAGAAGTGCTCCTGGAGGACATGGCACCACCTGTTAACAGGCCAGCTCTTTCTTAAAGAATTCAGGAGTGAAACCTCTGCTGAGGGGATATCCTGAGAGAATAGGTTTGGAACCCTCCAAGAGGAACAACAACAAAAAGCCCAGACCATCCTAAGAAGGGATTCCTGGACTTATAGGAGACAGCCAAGAGAACACCTGCACGAGGCTTCAACATAGAGAATGCCACCAAAATAAGGTTTTTACACTCTTGTCACTTACAGCAGAATGGGCCCAAGGTGAAGAAATAAAATTAGAATAACCCCTTTTATGGAAGCTGAGGGCCTCCCTAATGGAGGCCTTGGAGATGGGCAGATGCACGGGTACAATCTGAAGAGACAACCCCCTTTAGGGATGAGATCTTTTGCTACCAAACTCAGAGTCCCTCTGAAGTGTCTGCTGCAGCTCTCGGGTTGGGGTCAGTTCCTTTTTGTCATCCAAAGTCTCACCCTGAGATACCCAGAGCCTGAGGAGGGACAAGGGAAATCTTTCTAGGCATTGCCTAGCTCTTCCTCCCTACTTCATCCCTAACTCCCAGCCCTGGAGCTGGGAGTTTGCTTCCCAAAGCTGACCTGGCCTCCTTCCCTCCCTCCTTTCCCTGGGTTGTCCAGATCTAAGGGTGACATTGTCCTTCTACTGCTCTCAAACATGGCTTCTGACCTCTCCCCTCATATCTCATGATTATCGATCCTTGAGAGTTTCCCTGGCTCCCTGTCCCTTCTTCCTTCTCTACCAGTGTCCCTTGTCTGAACCCACAGTGGTAGGAAGGAGTGGGCAGCATGGACGGAGAAGAGGAAGTTAAAGAAGACAAGAATGAGAATGGGAGGGCTTTGCTGTTGAGCCAGGGACAGGACTTTGTAGGTGGCTCCCTCCTTTAGGTTCCTCCCCAACATGGTCATCACCATGCCCACCTACCTGCCATTTACTATTTTTCAAGGAATAAAGAGGAGGTAGCAAGGAGGGCCTTTAACTTACTTGACAAAGACTAGGCCATCATTCTTTTTTGTTTATTCTTTTCTCCCCAACCCTGCCTGCCATTCTCAGTTATTGTGCCCATTCTTCTGGGAACAGTGGAACACAGTAACACTCACTAGGCCCTGCCTCTGGCCCCCTCCTCCTCTACTGCCCTGGGAAAATGGAAGTGGCAAAGTGGCAGGAGCAAGATTGGCTTGTGGCAGAGGGAACAAGGTAATGAAGGAGGAAGAGGTTTCTTGGGAGTGGAGAAAAACCTAGAAGAAACTTTAAAAGGCCCATGGGTAGAAGCCATGTCATTGTCTGCTGGGAGGGAAAGATGGAGACCTGAATCTAGCACAGGGTAGGCTTGACCCACTCACATGCTCTTGTGCCTCAGCCACCGCAAACAATGGCATTCTGTGCCTGAATTCCTGACTTCCAACCTCAGGCCTCACAAATGCACACAGGTGGAAAAAGCCTGCAGTCCTCTGCTCTCACAGACCCTTTCTTGTCTTTCTCCGCTCAGCCCATCTTCTCTGGGAGACTGAAATATGAACCCACACCCCCTCACACTTGGTTCAGGTCTTCAGTTCCATCTCTGCCTGTGGGATCTGGAGTTGGAGCATTCCGCCTCTTCACTCTGTCCCATGCATGAATAATCTGTCCATTTCTCTAGTCCCTGAGCTTTTGTATGCTGTCTTTCTCTTGTGTCCTCAGAAAGGCAATGGAGTTTATGTCTCTTAGCCATGTGCTGAGGAGGTGGTGGGCAGATATGCAGTAGAATGACATCTTTCTCCTTTATCTCATTTTGCCATTTCTTTCCTTACTGCCCATGTCTCCATGGACATATGATTTTTCTCTTTTTCTGTGATGGCAAGGAAATGACATGAGTAGTCAGGATGCATAGGCAATGTGGCCCTGGGGGACTGTGTCAGAGGGCTGAAAGGGCAGACTTGGCACTAATGAGTCAGTCAGAAGCCCTGACATTCTGGTCCTGTTCTACAACCTCAGGGATGAGAATATGCTTTTTTCTGGAGCCCTTGTACTCAAATAATGGTGGAGTATCTGAACTTGGAATAACAAATCTCAATTCTCTGTTTCTGCTCAGACACATCTAAAGGTAATCATTTCCTGCCACCTGCCATAAATAATTGATCTCTCAAATAGAACCATGTTTCCTGCTCTCGAACCCTGCTGGTAATGATGCCAGTGTAGATGGACCTGCACGATAAGCTTTGAAGCTAACAGGGATTATAACAGGGGTAAGCAGCTTTGGGAAAATGGAGTGCTCTTTTGCTGACTTGTTTCTGGGGACTTTGCTGATCCTCATGAGGAGCAATAACTGCTGGGTCCATTGATCTAGTACATCCTTGAATTTTTGAGTTAACTTCCTTTCTTTCTAAAAGCTACATGAATAAATTCTTTGGAATGATGGTATGCTAGCATCTATCCGGGATGCCAGCAAACATGGATTTACACAAAGAGAATGGAGCCCTCTGCAGGAAGTTGAATTTCCCCTTTTAATTTCAAGGGCATAATCTCAGATCATTGTAGGGAGGATGGTGGCACAGTCATAATCTTCAGCCTTTGGGAATATAATGAGATCTTTTCCTCCCAGATCGCTTCCTCCTCTTGGCTTAGCATTTTCATTCTTTTTAGTGGCCAGTTTATATGATCACCTCTTTCCTCTTTCATTTCTACTTTATTGGCTTGAGGATGCACCTAAGAGCATAAATATTGTCTACAAAAATTCCACCCCCAGCCATCACCTCCCCTCCATTTTCAGGAATGTCAAGTTGGGGGTTTCTAGTATATTTTTGTTTTGTTACTCATGAGCAGTATACCTAGCTGAGTTGGGACATCAGTATATTGTTTCAGGCTGACTAGAGAGGAGCACCTCCAGAAAGAAATATCATGCAGAAGGCTACCATTCTGACCATTATTAGTGGGCCTAAATACCAGCTAGAAATGTGGGAAAACTCATTAATGAAGGATGCTTAAAAGCCGGACAAGTAGTAGACAAAGCTTATTTTCTAATAACTAGCTGAAAGAAGAATGAAGAAAGTTCCAAATGTTTAGGAAACATCTACTGTGGCCAGTCATTGTCAGGCATGCTCACATGTGTGCATTTAATTCTCACAGTAGCCCTAGGAGGTAGGAATTATTATGCTCATTTTACAAATTTGTAAACAAGATTAGAACGGATTCTTGGTAGAAAAAATACCTGAAGACCTCTGTTGCAAATAAGTGAACATTGGCCATTTCTGGGTGATTTGGTAACAAAGTTTTGTTTAATGTCTAAATTTAACGTGAAACGTCATTTTCATTAAAAAGTACAATTTTATGAAATACTAAATATATAGAAGCCTTGGCCAACATTATAAACCAGGATCTGACATAAATCCATACCTTCCAACTTCCTTTGACATCACATTATCTTTTCATAACAGATAGTCACATTGGCTAATAGGGTAAAGAAGAAAACCAATAACATCAGAAAACAATTCCATCCAGCCTTGCTCTGACTGGGGTCATCACTCTAGGCCACATGCCTTATTTTGCTCTGACACTTCAGGATGTTTCCTGCTGGTATTAGCTGTGCATCAAGGCTAAGAGGTCACAGCGCTGTCCTTGCCATTCTCAATAAATCAGTTTTGCAAAATCTCCAGGCCTTCTTGCAGAGGATTCAGACATAGAGGGTGATATAGGTGATATAGTTTTGCTGTGTCCCCACCCAAATCTCATTTTGAATTGTAACTCCCACAATGCCCACATGTTACAGGAGAGACCCAGTGGAAGGTCATTGAATAATGGGGGCGGGTCTTTACCATGCTATTCTTGTGATAGTGAATAAATCTCACAAGATTTGATGATTATATAAGGGGGAGTTTACCCTGTACAAGATCTCTCTTTTTGCCTGCTGCCATCTGTGTAAGACATGGCTTTCTCCTCCTTACCTTCTGCCATGATTGTGAGGCATCCCCAATTACGTGCAACTGTAAGTCAATAAACCTTTTTTTCCTATATAAATTACCCAGTCTCGAGTATGTCTTTATCAGCAGCATGAAAACGGACTAATACATAGGGTTGTAGCGGATCAGCTATAAAGATGGGCCTCCCTTTAGGCCCTGCAGCAGTATGGCACCAGTTTGAAAGCCTCCATCCAGTCCACATAATGAAAATCAGAAAAAGAACATTCACCACTTATCTGTGCTTTCTGCAAAGAAACAGATACCGGGGTGAGGACCAAGACTGCCTTCTTCTTCATGTCATTTTGTATGTCTGTGTAGACAGAGTCGGCAAGAAGGGAGATATGAAGTGCTTGCAAGGTACCTAGATCTGTCCTTGCATTCAGACATTCCCTTGCTACTTGTAATTCCTTGACAGAAGACATTGTGGTAGTGGGTACTTAGGAGAGAAACAACTAGAATGGGGCATTTTTCCCAAGGCAAACATTGAATCCTCTCTTGCTGTTACAGAGTAAAATTCCCTGAGGCCTGGGCTTGGTTTTTCATGCAGATTGAATGATAGCTTTTAATACTGTCTCTAATTTAGTAATTCTCTGTGAGCTCCCTTGAGAAGAGGGCCCAGGTACTCTTATTTTCCATCTCTCACAAAGAATCAATAATGAAACTAAGTATTGACCATTATATATGTCAAGCATATGATATCTGAAGAATTTAGATGGCTGGGGGCGGGGAAACTTTGAATAACCAGATACATACATATAGATAGATAGGTAAAGATATCTCATAGCTCCACTTTCATTTTTTTTTGTTTATAAAATATTCACTATGTGTAAGTCTTGTGCTAAGCACTGAAGATGCAATGCTGAATAAGACAGCGTGGATTCCTTTTTGTGAAGCATAAGATGTATCTCTCCCAAATATTCTATTGATGACAGACTTCTATCATTAGAAGCCTCATAATTTTGTATTCTTTCATCACTTCTAAGGTCAAGTTTTACATGGTAACCTTCCTCAGTTTAGAGACATACTTGTTTTCTTACTTTTTAGATATTTGTCCTAGAGTTTGCAGTATACATTTACAAGTAATACAAGTCCCCTTTCAAATAACACTATACCACTTGATGGGTAGTGCATGTACCTTATAATAACAAGATATTCCTAATTCCTCCCTCTCACCCCTTGTATAATGGCTATCATTTGTTTTACTTATACAAAACTATACCTAAGCATATACACATGAGCATACATAATCAAATATGTTTTTGCTCTTATTTTGAACAGATTGTCAGATTAAGAATAAGAAAAAGAAATTTTCATTTTATGTTCATTTATTTCTTGATGATGCTCCTTTTTTCTTTATGAAGATCAGAGTTTCTGACCTGTATCATTTCCCTTGTCTCTGAAAAACTTTTTTCTAACATTTCTTGCAATATAGGTCTACTGGCAATAAATTTCCTCTTTTTTTTTCTTGCCTAAGAAAGTCTTTATTTCTCTTTCGCTTTTGAAAAATAATTTCACAAGACACAGAATTCTAGCTTTTTTCAAGAAAAAAAGTGAGTTTCTTTCTCTCAACCCTTCATTACAATGGTCCCTCCTATCCATAGGGGATACATTCTAAGACTTCTAGTGCATGCCTGAAACTGAGGATAGTACTAAGCCCTCTAAATAGTATTGATATGGTTTGGCTGTGTCCCCACCCAAATCTCATCTTGAATTGTAACTCCTACAATTCCCATGTGTAGTGGGAGGGACCCAGTGGGAGGTAATTGAATCATGGGGGCTAGTATTTCTGGTGCTGTTCTCGTGATAGTGAATAAGTCTCATGAGATCTGATGGTTTTGTAAAGAGGAGTTCCCCTGCATAAGCTCTCTCTTTTTGTCTACTGCCATCCATGTAAGTCATGACTTGCTCCACCTTGTCTTCTGCCATGATTGTGAGGCCTCCCCAGCCACGTGGAACTGTAAGTCCACTAAACCCTTTTTCCCATATAAATTACCCAGTCTCGGTTATGTCTCTATCACCAGCATGAAAATGGACTAATAGAGTTGTAGCTGATCAGCCATAAATACAGGCCTCCCCTTAGGCCCTGCAGCAGTATGGCACCAGTTTGAAAGCCTCCATCCAGTCTACATAATGAAAGTCAGAAAAAGACCATTCACCACTTATCTGTGCTTCCTACAAAGAAACAGATACCTGGATGAGGACCAAGACTGCCTCCCAGATTGAATGATAGCTGTTAATACTGTTTCTAACTTAGTAATTCTCTGTGAGCTCCCTTGAGAGGGCCCAAATACTCTTACTTTCCCTCTCTCCTGACAAAGAATAAAGAATGAGTCTTGACTGTTATATATCTGTCAAACACCTGATACTGGAAGAATTTAGATGACTGGGGCTGGGGAAGCTTCGAATAACCAGATACATACATATAGATAGATAGGTAAAGATATCTCATAGCTATACTTTCATTTTTTTTGTTTATAAGATACTCGTTATGTATAAGTCTTGTGCTAGGCACTGAAGATGAAATGCTGAATAAGACAGCTTAGATTCCTTTTTCTGAAGCGTAAGATCTATCCCTCCCAAATGTTCTGTTGATGACAGATTGCTATCATCGAGTGCCTCATAATTTTGTATTCTTTCATCACTTCTAAGGTGAAGCTCTATGTGGTAACTCTCAGTTTAGCGACATTAAACATGCCTTCCTTCTTCTGTGGCTTTTCTGGTGTCTAAGACGGTTCAACCACCTACTAAAGTTTCTTCTGCATATGATACAAGTATAAGGCAGTTCACCTGTGTGGGTTCTCTGGTGTTTAATAAGGTGGAAGTTCTGAATGAATCTTTTTCCACATTCATGACATTTAAAGGACTTCTCTCCCATATGAATTATTTGGTATGTGTGTAGATTTGTGTCATGACTAAAGCATTTCCCGCACCATGAGCATCTATATGGTTTTACTCTTTGATGTGTCATGTAGTGCGTATTAAGATCTGAACTCCATCTAAACCTTGTGTCACATTGGTGACGCTTATAGGTCTTCTGTTTAGTGTGAATTCTCTGGTACTTAATAAGATCAGAGCTAACTGAAGCTTTTCCCACATTCCTGACATTTAAAAGGTTTCTCTCCTGTGTGGTGTTTCCCATGAAGACACATAAGTTTTGGAAGCTCTTGTTTACAAGTGGCAAGTTTCTTTACTTCCTTGGAAAAGCTCAGTGCTGTTTCTGTACCTTGTGTATATCACCATGATTTTCCCTGCCTGTTGTTTTCTGGACAATTTCATTCTGGTCTGTTTTGATATTTTGCATCCTAGCATTTGTATTTCTGATGCAGAAACCGATACAGGATGATCATTTCCAGTGTCATATTTTAGCTTTAACCCTAGAGAGATGACAGCTTCACAGATACTCTGCATTACAACATCATAAAGTCTTCTCAGGAGGATGCAATAATTGACATTCTTCCTCAGAAAAATACACAACCACTTCTTCAAATGTCAGCAAACTCTGGGACTCAGGCAGGATGAGCTGAGATGCCATCTTCCAGTCTTTGGTGCTTTTCTGCTCAGCACAGGCTAAAACCTGTTGAGCATACAAGACTCTTTCATATACAGGCTGGGTTTCTTTGTGAGTATTCCAGCCTAGCTGTTCTTGTAGTACCCAGTATATATTCCAACATTCCTTCTGGAACACTCGCTTTGGTTAGGGCTCCGCTGGTTTATACTTGAAGTCTGGGGTCACTGCTGTTCCTCCCAGGAGCACTGCCTTCTCTCCCAGCTCATGGGCTGTGACCTTATTCTTTGTTTGACCAGGTTCTCTCTGCAAGCGTTTCACCAAGACCAGAGCCTGTTTTGACATTCTGTGGATGATGCTTCTGCACCCAGTTCTGGGTATCCTTGTGCAAAATGGTCAGGAACTGCTCTAACATCAATATTTCCAAGATCTACTCTTTTGGGTGGATCTCTGGCCTCAATCACTGATAGCATAATTTCTGAAGTAGGCTGATAGCCTCTGGCGTTCCAGTTGCTTCATCGTATCAGAAGGTCTGGAAGTGCCTGTGAGTGCCCTCAGGCCGAGATACTCTATTTATGTGGTGTACTTCTTACTGGGACTGGAGTTCTCTCTCACAGACCCATTAGTCTCCCACATAGCCCCCATCTGGGGGTTCAAGTATGCATCTGCCTTCAGCTCTCTCATCATTGTTTGCTCTAGGAACAGTTTTAACCCTGTGTGTGACACTGACACCCACCTGGGGCCACCTCTGACAAATGAGGGTGCATCAGGTTTGGTACAATATCAATGAGTAGATCTTCCTAAGAGCACTTCAGTAAGCTCTGGCTTCCCTGGAGGCCACTTTCCTCTTTCTCAGCTTGACTACCCTCTGTTGCCATGTCTCCCTGCTGCTCTGGGTATTGAAGCTCTGTTCCTGCGCCACATGGGGAAGCGGTGTCAGGAAAGCGCACTATGCCTGGCAAGTGAAGCTCCAAGATTTTCGGAGCCTTGGAAGGGGCCCTGGAAGACCAGTTTTCCCATTCTATCCCTCCACCTCCCAGAGACCTTACCCAGATTCACTATTCCTCGGTCGACGTCTGTCTATTTTCTCTTTATTGCGCTTGTTCTTTGCTTCTGTTTTTGTGTTCCACACTTTTGCTGCCTTTTGTGGTTTAAATTATTTTATATGATTTTATATTCTCTCCTTAGAATATTACCATGCTTGTTTTCTTACCTTTTTAGGTGTTTGTCCTAGAGTTTACAATATACATTTATAAGTAATCCAAGTCCCTTTTCCAATAACACTGTACCACTTGATGGGTAGTGCATGTACCTTATAATAAGATACTCCTAATTCCTCCCTCTCATCCCTTGTATAATTGCTATCATTCATTTTACTTATACAAAACTGTATCTAAACATATACACATGAGCATACATAATCAGATACATTTTTGCTCTTGTTATTTTGAACAAATTGTCAGAGCAATTAAGAATAACAGAAACAAAAGTCTTTATTTTACCTTCATTTGTTCCTTCACAATGCTCTCCTTCATGAAGATTGGAAGTTTTGACCTATATCATTTCCCTTGTCTCTGAAGAACTTTTTTCTAACATTTCCTGCAAGATAGGTCTACTAGCAACAAATTTTCTCATTTTTTTCTTGCTTAAGAAAGTCTTTATTTTTCTTTCACTTTTGAAGAATAATTTCAGAGGGTACAGAATTCTAGGTTTTTTTCTAGAAAAAAGAGTTCCTTTCTCTCAACCCTTTATTACAATAGTCCCTCCTATCTGTAGGGGATACATTCTAAGACTTCTAGCGGATGCTTGAAACTGAGGATAGTACCAAGCCCTGTATATACTATTGTTATGGTTTGGCTGTGTCCCACTCAAATCTCATCTTGAATTGTAACTCCCACAATTCTCATTCCAAGTGGAAGTAATTGAATCATACATGGAGGTCTTTCTGTTGCTGCTCCTGTGATAGTGAATAAATGTCATGAGATCTGATGGTTTGATAAAGAGGAGGTCTCCTGCACAAGCTCTCTCTGTTTGCCTGCTCCCATCCATGTAAGACGTGACTTGCTTCTCCTTGCCTTCCGTCATGATTGTGAGGCCTCCCCAGCCATGTGGAATTGTAACTTAATTAAACCTCTTTTTCATCCTAGTCTTGAGTATGCCTTTATCAGCAGCATGAAAATAGAGTAATATAACTATATTCCTTACTATACATACATACATACATATGTATGACCAAGTTTATTTTATAAGTTAGGCATAGTAAGATATTAATAATATTAATGAAATAGAATAATTACAACAATATACTGTAATAAAAGTTATGTAAACATAGTTTCTCTCTCAGAATATCTTATGGTGTTATACCAAACTTCGTTTTGTTGTCTGTTCTCTGATAAGTGAGAAGACTATTAAGTGACTATATACATTTATAGCATATAAACATATATACACTGGACAAAGAGATGATTCACTTCCCAGGAGGGATGGAATGGGATGGTGTGAGATTTCTTCACACTACTTAGAATGGTGCATAGTTTAAAACTTATGAATTATTTATTTGTAGAATTTTTCATTTAATATTTTCAGACCACTGTTGACAGAGGGCAACTGAAATCGTGGAAAGCAAAACCATGGATAAGGGGGACACTGTATTTCACCCCAGTCTCTTTTTATTGCGTGGTTTCTGAGGGGAAGTTGGATATATTTCTTATCTTTTTTCCTTTATATGTAAGGTGTTTTTTTCCCTCTGGTTTTCTTTTAAGATTTTTTTCCTTATCTTTGATTTTCTGCAGTTTGAATACAATTTGCCCAGGTGTTATGTGCTTTTTTTGGTACTTGTTCTGCCTGGTGTTCTGTGAGCATCGTGGAGCTGTGGTTTGTTGTCTAACATTAATTTGGAAAAATTCTCAGTCATTGTTGCTTCAAATATTGTTTCTGTTTTTGTTTTTTTTTTTTCTGTTGCTTCTTTTTCTGATATTCCCATTACACAGTTATACCTTTCATGGTTAACCCACGGTTCTTATATATTCCTTTTTATTTTCTTTTTTTTTCCTCTTTGCTTTTTAGTTTTGGAGATTTCTATTGACATATTCTCAAAAATAAAAGTTCCGATATTTTTTTCCTCAGTCATGTCCAATCTATTAATGAGCCCATCAAAAGCATTCTTCATTTCTGATCCACTTGTTTTGATCTGTAGCATTTAAAAAAAATCCTTTCTTAGAATTTCATCTTTCTGCTTATGTTATCCATCTGTTCTTGCAAGTTATTTTTTTCGATAAAAGCCCTTAGCATATTAACGATAGTTTTTAAACATTCCTGGTCTGACAATTCCAACATTCCTGGCATATGGGACTCTGGTTCTGATACCAGTTCAGTTTTTTCAAACTGGGGTTTTTGCTTTATAATTGTTTTCCTTGTAATTTCTTGTTGAAAGGAGGACATGATGTACTGGGTAGAAAGAAGTGCACTAAATAGGCCTTCAGTGATGCAGTGGTAGGGTGTGGGGGGAGGGGAAGTCTTTTGTACTCCTCTGATTAGGTATCACACTTTTTTTCTTTTTTCTCTTTCTTTCTTGCTTTTTTTTTTTTTAGACAGGGTCTCACTTTGTCACCCAAGCTCATGTCCAGTAATGGCGTGAACAGGGCTTGCTGCCGCTGCCTTAACCTCCCAGCCTTAAGCGATCCTTCCGCCTCAGCCTCCAAAGTAGCTGGGTCTACAGGCTCACACCACCACACCCTAGCTAATGTTTGTATTTTTTGTAGAGATGGGGTTTCGCCATGTTGCCCAGGTTGGTCTCGAACTCCTGAGGTCAAGTGATCAGCCTGCAGCCTCCCAAAGCGCTGGGATTACAGGTGTAAGTCACCGCGCCCAGTCTAGGTCTCAGACTTTTAATGAGCTTGTGGCCCTGGGCTCTGAACTTCACCAGTGCTTCACAGTTTTTCCCCAACTTAGGCTGGATATGATGGCTAGGGTGGTCTGGAGTTAGGTATTTCCCTTCCCCCAGGTAGGTTAGGCTCTGATAAAATTCCAAGAGGTTAGGGTCTGGAGGGCAGGCCTTGCAAAGAACAGAATATCCTTTCTTTCATATTTCAAATGGTTCCTCTTCCTTCCCCACTGCTGAAAGTACAGGGGAATTTTTCTCTGATAGTCGCTGTGAGGGCCTGGAGATAAGACTCACAGAAGGGTGAGGGTCCTCCGTGGCTGGGTTCCCTGGAGGTTTTAGCTCTCAGACTTGTCCACACCGAGCCTCCATCAGTTTATCAATTGCAGCTCAGATTTATGTACCTCAGCATTGGTTCCTGAAGAGGTTTCTGCTCATGAATTCCTCCTTTGGTAAGTTGTGATTCTCTGTATTTGCCTGTCTGTCTCTCCAATTTGTGGTGTAGGGTTTGCCCTAAGACTTCACTTCACTGACAGATCTAAGAAGAGTTGTTGATTTTTCAGATCACTCAGCTGTTTGCTTGCTGTTAGGATGGAGTGGCAACTTCTAAACTCCTGACATGTTGGAGTGGATACTGGAAGTTGAAAAAGGGTTTGAAACCTAACAAACTTTCAGGGGAGGGGCATAGGGAGAACAATAGACACCTCAGATACAACTGTGGACTAGAGAAGGAAAGACTTGTGTCCTTTTCACGGTGAAGCCTGGGCAGTGGGAAGCCGTATTCAGAAGTCCCCCTGTCCCCCACAGCACAAAAGCAATAGAGCTGAACTGGCTCTAGGTAGATAGGCCATTGCAGGTAGACGGGCCATGGCAACCTTGCAGAGTTCCAGTCACCCCACTGTGGTGCAGAGAATAACAGAATCATTTTATCTTTGTCACTGAGGGTGGTATGGACATGCTCCCTCAGCAGACCTGATGAGGCCTTGGGGTTAGGATGAGGGGGATAAGATGAGATTGAAAGATGAAGCTGATGACTGTAGGCCAGGTGCCTGAGGAGCTGAGTTTCTCATAACCTAACATGAAGTGTCTGCTTCCAGAGAGGATATGAGCCCGAGGTAGAAATAGCTGGGGTATGTCCTGAGAATTTCTAACATGTTCCCAGGTGATGCTGATGCTCCTAAATCTGGGATAACACTTTGAAAACCACTGCATTGTTTTATTCCAAACTTCCTAACCTCCTATTATTTGTTAAGTATAAGTAGATCTATGCATAATCAAAAGATACGTTACACTACCCAATTCCACAGGTGGTGTACTCTCTTGTACTATATGGTTAATCACCTAGATGTAGCAAGGAAAATGAACACTGGTATCTCCCATCTGTTGGTTACTGCTATTTTTTCCCCTTGGTGTTGTGCTTTTATGTTGACACTTTTCTTTCTTTCTTCCTTCATTTTCTTTGTTCTCCTTACTCTGATCTTTCCTTATAGCCTCTATTTGTTGTACCGTTTTTTTTCTATGTTCTGTGAAATACTGTGATCGGTATGTGAAAATAATATCATTTAATTAAGCTTTAAGGCACACTACCTTGCATCTAGCCTGAGAACAGCACAAGCCTGCTGTAATTTCTATGATTGGCCTCACTTAGGAGATTTTATTTGTTGAGAGGCACCTGAAAAACCTTAGCAAACTTGGTTCAGAAAAAAAAAATGGTGGCTACAGTAATAATATATAACTCAGAGATTTGAGACACAGATGATGTAGTTACCATAGGAAATTTTTTTCCTCTTTGGCTGTTATTACTCGTACTGTCTACAAGATCTGTCCAAGAACAGTGTATCATCTAAAAGAGGGGATGCTGGACTTAAAAAAATAAGTGAAAAAGAAAATTTAAATTAGAAGTCTTAAGTCAGTCATTGTATCCATATTGATATTCTTAACTGAAAAAGAACAAAACCCAGGAAGGCTTTTATTTATCGATTCCATGAAGAACATATTTCTTTTGTGTCATGGTGATCAGTGATTTTTGAATATATATATCTATAATATACTCAAATAAGATTTCTTGGTATTTTTTGGACTTAAAATTTTTGGATTGTATGATTCTGAGACTTACATGCATATGTTCATCTCATAAGATGGAAAAGCTTTTGCTCAAATTTTTTTTTGTCCATGTTGAAATGAGAATTAAAATCGCTAGAGGGCACTGTGGATAAGCATTTGTAGCAAAGATACCTATAGGAGCTAGAACTTGCCAGAATTTAGTTGTACAGGAAGTCCTCAATTACCGACATGTACTGGTCCAAAAATGTGCTTATAAATTAACTCTTCGGAATTCAGGATTCAGAGTGTATTTTCCTAATAGAAACAATAAAATAAGTAGTAGTATAACAATTTCCCAAGTTGACCTCTAATAGTCTGTTAAATATATATATGACACAGATTTGTTTGTTATGTGAAGGGAAGCAACAATAACAAAAACAAATATTATACACCTCATTGAGATATAATGGGATTTACCAAACAACAAATAAGACTATACAACTCATTTAGATATAATGGGATTTAAGAAAATTTTGATGTAGAGAGTTTTATTTTGGTGTGAACTGGCTTAATTACAAAAACCCACTAGCTTGGAAATATTACAGAGTTGCAATCTCTGTGTCTCAAAAACAAGAATAAAACAAAATACCCAGGAATAAACTGTTAATCTGTGGGTCACCCCCGTTGAATGGATTGATAGCACTACCCCCTCCTCCCAACTCCCTTCAGTTTTTAGTGGAGTGGGGTTCATACGGTTCTGCCTCCCCTGAACCCCACCTGGCTGCTTTGTTCTTATGTCCACTACCTCTCACTACTGCTGCTTCTCCTCCTGGTGCTGTTCAGTGGCATGTTTGGCTTCTTTCCCTTTTCTTTAAAGGCATCCAGATATCCAGCCAGTCCCAGCCTCTGGGTGAAGCCATTCCTCCTAGTTCCAAGCTAGCAAGGGTAATTTAGCACTGTTTGCTTGCAGACCTAACTTTGGGAATTCACTCAGTTCACCTCCCAGGTGGAAACGGGACCATCCCTATGGCCACAGCAGAGTCTCCCTTTCTCCCTGTGTCCCACCTGCCCTAGGAATGGTTCCCCTTTCCTCTTTCTTTCTTCAGCTTTCTTCCGTCTAACTTAATTACTGTTTTGGGATTATTTAATTTTTTTTCTCTAGGGCTTTCACTACGTAAGTCTACATTTCAATCAATGAGTGTTTTAAACTAGATGGGAAACAATACATGACTTGACAGTTAATTTGCCCTGATTTCTTGCCACACTTCCCTTTATTCTTTAGTGGAAATACAAAGTCACAGTTTTCTTTCATCTTTTACGAGCTAATGGGAATGTAGGCAGAGGTCAATGGTGAACAGAGTGCCTGAAGGTTTGTGGATGATGCAAAGTATTGGGAGAGTACCCTGAGCCCCACAAACCACCTTTATAATTTAGGTTGCATCAGTATCACCTGGGTGCCTGCCAAAAATACAGATTCTGTGAGGTGTTAGGTGGGACTCAGAAAAGTGCATTTTAATTAAGTATCCTTGATTATTCTGATGAGTGTTATTCTGGCCACAGATATAAATTGATAAATTATATAATAGTCCCTCCATCCTTAAGCCTCCTTTCAGGCAAATGTGTCATGGATTTTAGAGTGTTATCTTTTGTTTATGGGTTTTTGTTTTAAGGTGGCAAATGTGTCACTATCACCAAGGAGATGGGAAAGGTATGATTACTTTGATTTTTGGTGAGGTTGTGAAAAAATAATGTTTAGTAAAGATGAGCATCAATCTGATCTGCTCATTTAGCAGGATACATGTAGTATTTCCACCTACACTTTTCACAAAAGGAGAAAGCATTATTTATGAAGCCTTCTGTGTGTGTGTGTGTGTGTTTTAGGTGATAAATAATTGAAAGTAAAGGTTGGCATCACTATGCCATATCAAGCTTTTCCTTTTCTTTCTTTCCTTTTTTTTTTTTTTTTTTTGGTGATGAGACAGATGGTATTTTTTTCTATAGATGCCAAAAAAGGAAAAACCCCAAACCCACCAAGTCTCACAGTTGTGGAAAGAAATCTTATATGATTTCTAAAAGCAAGGATCTGCTGGCCCTCCTCTTACCCCAAAGACTAGGGACCATGAATCACTTGGAAAATAGATTTGTGTATTCTGAGTGCTTGTCACTGGGTTGGCTAACTTAGAGGGGTTTTTAGTTGAAACCAGGGCTTTCTAAGTATGCACTTGATAAGCATGTAAGAAGTAAGAACAAAATATATCCAGCTGATTAATAATGATATATTTCAAATATACTGGTGTTTAAATGGATATTAGACACTATGTTACCCTCTCCACCACTTCAAAATATTATAACATTTTAGGCTTTATAGTCTTTCATGACATCAAAGGTAATGTTATTATTTAAATAGAATAAGGACATCTGTTTTAGAAAGAGAAAACAGGTTCTTCAATGTGTGTTTTGGCTAGGCAAATGATAGCAGAAAAAACCTCTAATGCATCATTTTTAAATAGATCATTGAAATGACAGAGTTTTGATTTTTTTCAATGTTCTTTTTAACATCTGACAAGTCTAAGTACTTCTGTCTACATAAGTCACATACTAATTAGTAATTAACCACTGTTATTTAATTAGACTCTCTAGTTGGTACATCATGCATTGATCACTCCCAATTTGGTATGTGCTGGCTGCTCTTGGTGACTAGGCCACTCTGCTGGGGTTCATTTCATGCTGTGTGTTGCAGCTGTGCCCAGACACAACCTTTTTCTGCCTTTGTCTTGAAATTAGATAAGAAACATAAAAATGTGGAGAATTGAACTAACTCTAGTTAGTCAACTAGATTTCCAAAATGGTTACAAAAGGCAAAAGTGAATTTTTGCTGATTGAATGAAAAAAGGACTCTTTCGTTCAAAAATTCATTTTTTTCTCCTTTTTTATGCTTCAGATTTTCTTTCAGATGATTTGATAATGATATGTATGCTTTAAGGAAAGGTCAAAATTATATTTTAGACCTACTGAATTTGCAAGTGTTCTAAGCATGCAATAAAAACATGTAAAATCTCTACACTATATTAGATGAAACACATTTGAAGTAATTTTAATTAGAAATGGCCAAAGTAATTTAGAGACAATTGTTTTAATAAAAATGGTACATTTCTTAGATTATGAAACTAACTTTTTGCACTGTTTATTCCATTGGTTGTTACATAAATGGAGACTTCTGCTATTATGAATTCCTTAAACCACATAGTATGTCTTAAGCAACTCCTAGGACCTTATCAATATTTTATCCAGAAAGTACTCTTGATAATTAACTCTACTGTTTTTATTTTTCTTTTTTTCTTTTTCTTTCTTTTTTTTTTTTTTAGAAGAAGTCTTGCTCTGTCGCCAGTCTGGAGTGCAGTGGCGCAATCTTGGCTCACTGCAACCTCCGCTTCCCAGGTTAAAGCAATTCTCCTGCCTCAGCCTCCCGAGTAGCTGGAATTACAGGCACACACCACCACACCTAGCTAATGTTTGTATTTTTAGTAGAGATGGGGTTTCACCGTGTTGGCCAGGATGGTCTTGATCCGCCTGCCTCAGCCTCTCAAAGTGTTGGGATTACAGGCATGAGCCACTGTGCCCAGCCGATTAACTCTACTCTTGTAGCTGCACTCAACCCTAAGTGGACTTCACCTAAGTCAGTGGTTCTCAGCTCTGGGCAGAGGCCAGGGAAGGAGGAGATTTATGTATTCAAATTGCCTATAGAGTTTTTTGCTTGTTTAGTTGTGTTTTTGTATGAAAGAATGTTGTCTGGGGTGGGGCTTTATGATGAATGGCAGCCATCTAGTGTGACCAGACCATCATTTTCCCAGGATATGATGCACACAAAATCCTGAGACAAAGACCATCTCAGGCAAGTCCTGTAGAGCAGGTTGCGCACTTCCCTGAAAAGACTAGTCACAGTCAATTCTCACTCCCCAGGAGACCCATTGTAGTTTCACAGAAACGCTCACTTACAGCAGCCCTGACAGAGTGGCAGAGGGAGAAACAGAGGCTTCAGGAGGGTACTGGCTCATTCAAATCTGCACCATTAATAAGCACTGGAAGTAGGACCAGGTTTCAGATCTTTAGCTTCCTGATCTGGGGCTCTCTTCTCTATACATTTCTCTCCTCTTCCTCCTCATCTTCCTCTTTCTTCTTCTTCTGGATAAAGACATTTAGGCAAATAAGTTTAATGTGCTCATTATTTCAAGTTTTATGTAATGTTATTTCATAAATGTAATTTCTGATTAATTTTCATTTATTCTAGTTGGCAGGTTCATTAATCAGTGTAAATATGTGTAGATTATAAACTATGCAGTTGGTGCCTTTAATATTACATAGATATGTGGAAGTCCTTCCTTTTATTCTTAATTATCAAAAGATGGAATTCTGTCTCTAGAAAGTTTTGGAAGCATTCTAATAAAGGCTCTATGAACGTGAGTAATGAATCCCCCCAAACTTCTTTGATTTTTCCTCATTCCACATATGACAATCCCCAATTTGAGAAAAAAGCTCTTTTAAACAGAATGAAAGGTCTGTTTGTTCATATTTTGTAATAGAATCTGGTTGTTAAAAACACTCAGCAAATAGACATTCTTCCTCCTACTACCTCTGTGTAGCATAGGGAATGGTTTAGTCAGTAATGGTGTTTTCTTAGAAATTTCTAATAATTGTGCATATTAAAAATAAATTTTAAATTCAGAACAAACCAGGATTAAAAAATCCCAGGTTTTTTGGTCAAATTCAATGATCAGGTCTATGATATCTTTAATAAAAGAAATAACTCTTTCAATGAAAATAATATGGTCTGTGTTAGCAGTATCCAGATATTGTTGTCAGTGGATCATTATTCCCTCACAGTTATTTTATGTCTTTTTTACTATATGGAGCCCTATCTGACAAGGGTCAGCATTCTAAAAGTACTACATGGGGCAGTGGTTATGCCTCTTACTATCCACCTTCGATGTATTCTCTTGGTCAAAGACCAACTGTGAAGGATTTATAAAGTGGTAGCATGGCATAGTTCAAGAACTCAGTTTGAGCCAAGATTCCTGACTTCTCGTGTATTGTTACTGTCATCTACTTTTGTGTCCCTGGGACATCATTTATTCTGATCTACGAATTTAAAGGACTTCCCTAACATTATCATTTGTGCCTTTTAACCCTAAAGTTTTATGTGAGTATTTAAGCAAATATGTTGAAAACTTTGGGCATGCACTAAGGCTATGAATGCTGATTTAAACCTAGGGCTAGGGATTTTTTATGTAAATTTCAATGATTCCATAAACATTCTGTAGTTCTTGATAGGGTATTTTATACATATTTTAAGGAGTCAACAGTTTGCCAGAAATAGCTAGCAGCCAGAACTCAGCCCACAATCTACACGTCATTTGGAGAACATGCTAAAGACAGAATAGAGGCTACAATACATAGAAATGGCAAAATCCAAGATCCAGTTTATACATCAGTTGGTTAAGCAAATAACATATACCATGATTTGTGGTGCTAGCTGAGTTTGATGATAATAACTATAGGGCTTGCAAAACCCAGGCATTTATTTCTTTCTGCTTGTAGTGTGAAATCAGGGTAATGAAGTAGTTTGTTAAAAATATAAAGAGGAGGAAAACTCATGGATTTAACTATTGTTTTTCACTGTCTCACAGATTACCTGAAATTCAGTCAGTAGTTGAGAGATTTGTGTGTGTATATACGTAAATAAACTTATTTTAGGATCGGGGGTACATGTGATGGGTTGTTACATAGGTAAACTCATGTCACGGGGGTTTGTTGTACAGATTATTTCATCACCCAGGTATTAAGCCCAGTACCAAATAGTTATCTTTTCTGCTCCTCTTTCTCCTCCCATCCTCCACCCTCAAATAGAACCTAGTTAGTGTCTGCTGTTTCCTTCTTTCTGTTCATAAGTTCTTATTATTTAGTTCCCACTTGTAAGTGAGAACGTGCGATCTGGCTTTCTGTTTCTGCATTAGTTTTCTAAGGATAATAGCCTCCAGCCTCATCCATGTTCCTGTGTATAGTGTTATAGAACGGGCTAAAGAAGGCCCTGGTGTATTAGCTTGATTTGGCCTCTGCGTTGTTTACTTCTTCATAGCAGGCTAGGGTGGTTAGCTAGAACCAAACTCAAATTCTTACACATCCAGTTGCTTTAAATATAGCCCAAATAAGCATATTTTTAGACACTTAGAGCTTGCCTGTTTTACATAGCTTGTGAATCTGCACCCAGCATCTGCTAACCACAGATAAGACAAACTCCAGCAATAAAGACATGAAACCCTGCTGCCCTTTGATCCCTCTAACCCAAATAGTTTGCTGCTGAATGCCCTAACATAGGCATGTAAGCCACCTCTCCAAGTTCTCCTCCCCTGGAGATCCCTTGCCCTATTCTCCTTCTGAGTAGTGACCACCTGCCACTGTCTCTGGAAGTACTCTTGCTGGGAGGAACTTCCTCTCTCATGCAACCATAAGTTGCAATAAAGCATGCTCTGTGGTAGTGCCTCTTGGGGTCTTGCCTTTTCTGTGGTCAACCCCCAAATCCTTGAACTTACCACATATGTGTAATATATATCTATGAGTATGTTATTTAAAAATAATAAGCCAGGTAGGTTTGTTTCTGCCTTGGCATGAAGAAAATAAATCTACATGAAGGATGCATTAAAAATTGTTCCTTCATAGTATGAAATTGTAATTTGGTTCCTGTTTTTATGTGAACATTAAAGACAACATTATTTAGTGAAACACTAAAGGACTTAAAGTCAGAAGCCTTGAGTTTGAGCCTTGATTACTCATTAGCTGTGTGAACTTAGACAAGCCATTTAGCCTCTCTGAGCTGTAAAATAATGATGATACTACCTATAATTATTTTTATTGACCAAACTACAATACAAAGGTGACAGAAAGGCTGTAAAACAATGTAATTAAAACAGTGTAATTAAGAGAGTGAACTCTCCTTTGAAATTCTGGCCTCATGACTTGGGCGTCCAAAGGGGAACCTTTTTGAACTTGTTGTTTTAACCGTCAAATGAGGATAACAATACTACCTCATTCATGTGGTTACTCTAAGAATGAAAAGATGTCTCCTTTAAATGTTTCTAATGCATAGACATGCATATTATGTGTGTGCTTCAATAGTAAAATGAAGTACAAGTGTCATCTAAAGCATTTACAGGTGTCATGAGGAATGTGAGCATAATAAAGAAGGATGATGTTGAGGAGGGGGTGATATTCAGTTTTAAAAAAGCCATCAAGTCTTTAGGCAGTAATTTTGTATTGATGTGAAAAGTGTGAAATATTAGGAAGGGATAACACTCAGCAATAAAAGTTTCCCCAAATCATCAAAATAATTGTTGTATGTTCCTTTCTCATGATTCACATAGATATAGACTTCACACATATTATACTTAAACCAAAAAAATACTACCCAAGTACAGAGATGAATTTAAAAGGAAAACAAGGAGGTTTCATTTTAATTTAATTTCCAGACAGTGGATTACATCAATGAGGTCTGGCGTCTAATCAAAAACTGCAAATAAAGGAAGCAGATCAATTATCAGACTCCAGTTCAGTGGCTTCAACATGATGCCGAGTGCTTTTATTCATGTTACACAGATGAACCCAGCCCTCTTAACAGAAAAAAGCAAAGACTGCCCTTGCATGAAAACAAGGTGACTTAGTTCCCTAAAATCCAGTGGGAATGATGATTTCCAGTTTCATCCATGTCCCTACAGAAGACATGAACTCTTCATTTTTTATGGCTGCATAGTATTCCATGGTGTATATGTGCCACATTTTCTTAATCCAGTCTATCGTTGTTGGACATTTGGGTTGGTTCCAAGTCTTTGCTATTGTGAATAGTGCCGCAATAAACATACGTGTGCATTTGTCTTTATTGCAGCGTGATTTATAATCCTCTGGGTATATACCCAGTAATGGGATGGCTGGGTCAAATGGTATTTCTAGTTCTAGATCCCTGAGGAATCCCCACACTGACTTCCACAATGGTTGAACTAGTTTACAGTCCCACCAACAGTGTAAAAGTGTTCCTATTTCTCCACATCCTCTCCAGCACCTGTTGTTTCCTGACTTTTTAATGATCACCATTCTAACTGGTGTGAGATGGTATCTCATTGTGGTTTTGATTCGCATTTCTCTGATGGCCAGTGATGATGAGCATTTTTTCATGTGTCTGTTGGCTGCATAAATGTCTTCTTTTGAGAAGTGTCTGTTCATATCCTTTGCCCACTTTTTGATGGGGTTGTTTGTTTTTTTCTTGTAAATTTGTTTGAGTTCATTGTAGATTCTGGATATTAGCCCTTTGTCAGATGAGTAGGTTGCAAAAATTTTACAATGAGAACACATGGACACAGGAAGGGGAACATCACACTCCGGGGACTGTTGTGGGGTGGGGGGAGGGGGGAGGGATAGCATTAGGAGATATACCTAATGCTAAATGACGAGTTAATGGGTACAGCACACCAACATGGCACATGTATACATATGTAACAAATCTGCACATTGTGCACATGTTCCCTAAAACTTAAAGTATAAAAAAAAAATCCAGTAGGAAAACCCATGGATTTAACTATTATTATTTTCCATGTCACTGATTAACTGACATCTGCTCGTTCCACATGAAGACAGGAAGCCCTTTTCAGAAGACTAACATGGTAACGTGAGATCAGAAAAGACAATGAACTGTAGACATTTGCTCCTTGTGAGCCTAAGCGTAATATTGCTAAGTGCAGCACTAAGGAGATGTGTATAGTTTGTCTTGTGCACTGCATTAGGGTGTGACGGCAAAGAAAATGTAGCTAAAATGAAGACAAGTCAGTTGATATATCTACTTAGATTATATGCTGAGCAGCAGAAATGCCTTTGATGGATAATGAAGTCATAAAAGTAAGGTGACCTCAACAATGTGTAGGATAAAAATATGAGTGCTGTATGGGCAGATATGAAAGGGAGCAGTCCTCACCGTTACAGTACTTATTTCTGTGATGAGTGGTACAGAGAGCATGGATTGAGTGCATGTACTGATGAGAACAAGTTAAGAAACAAGAGCAGGGGGATTATTTAGTATCTCATAAACTTTTGGGGAAGAAAGCAGGGTATATAACTAAATGAAAGAAAAGAAAGGAAGAATGGAAGGAAGGCAGGAAGGGAGAAAGGAAAGTAGCAAGGAAGGTGGGGTGGGAGGAAGAGAGAAGGCAGGAAGGGAGGGAGGGAGGGAGAGAGAGTAGGAAAACAGCAAATGGAAACAAAGTGGAAGGATTGTGGTGATTGAAAGTCAAATTTACCCAAACGTTTCATATTAGATTTTCTTAACATAAGGAAAAATTATTTTAACGATTAGTCAGTGTAGGTATAAAAATATTATGCCTTTGAATGTATATATACACACATATATGTGTATATATGTATATCTACATATATATTTGTGTTTGTATATATGTGTGTGCACACACATATATGTACATACATATAAGTACATATACATACAGAGAGAGAGAGAGCGCCTTCATCTATTCCTAAGTGTAGGAAGGTTGGAGTGCTTGAATCAGGAACTAGATTTCATGTTACAACCAAAAGGTGACTAAGTTGCTCCACCACATACATAATAGGACTCACTGTATAGTAACTGAGTGATTGACCTTAGGCAAGTAACTTGACTTTGCTAGGCTTTAGTCTGCTCCTGTATAGAATGCAGATTATAATGCTCAAATGGTTGTTTTGAGGAGTCAATGAAGCAATGCCTGTAAAATGTTGATGTGAATTAAAGACTCCATCTTGTATAATAATAATAATTGTAACACAATGAAACAGATGTCAAGTTGAACAGATACGGTTCAGGGGCACCTAATCACCATACGCAGCGGGTGTGCAGCTGATTGGATTCATCCTGACTTTTATTTAAGAAGGAATTAGATAAACTCCAGATTTGCTTAAATTAATAATTATTCATAATAGGCTTCTCCTTCTGCTAATGTGGAAATAGAGTTTAAACTTCTGTGGAATTTTAGGAAAATAAACTCTATAGGTTAATGAAAGATATGGAGGAATAGGTAAGTGTTAAATTAACCCTATTTAAAGATAGAAAAACAAGAATGTAGAGATCTATTCCTCTTTTTTCACGATTGTATTGATTGGTGTTGAAAGGACTTTTTATAAGTTTAGGAACATGTAGTAATGAAATGCTGGGACAATTTGTGAATTCAGCTGTTGTATTTTCGAAAAAAAATGTTGCTGGCAGCCTGTTGGAACATCTCATTTTTTATTCTACTAAATGAGTATTAAAGAGTCTTCTTTCCTTAAGAAAAGGAACATTTCTAGAGAAAATTTCTGAAGTTTAAATATGATAACAGATGGTATTTCAAGTCTTCTGTCAATTACATATGTGATAGAACTCCAAATTTAGATTCATTACACAGCTACAATTCTTGACGAAGAATTTATGAATTTCTGGTATAATCAAAGAATTACCTATCCGCCCCCCCCACCCATAGAGGTATGTGTATATCCTTTTGGAGGAAATTTTAGGTGGGCCAGGTCACCGTTCTTCTCATTCAAAGATGACTGTAGTTGTCAGCACAAATAATCTTTGTGCTGTGGACCAATAATCTTTTCTACCCTCTGCACTGGAAACCATACTGACTGGTTTGTGGCTATAGCAGGTGACCCTGTTATATGAATTATCACATCTTGGTCTTGTGATTATTCTCATTCTTTCACTCAAATGAGAAATTTCATTTCAAAGACTTGGCTTGCTCCTTGCTGTGGTTGTTTTTTAACCATCTGCAGTGGTATTATCTTGTTGGAACCATGTTCATATGTCCAAAATAATTCCATAGGCTGTTCTGATTTTATACTCCTGCTGCTCTGGTACCCTGCTGCCACATTTTTTTCTGTCTTTCCTTGTAAATTTAGACTGTGATTAAAAACCTGGGGACCCACTTCAAGACCTTTGCACATGCTGGCCCAGATGCCTCTGTTGCTTTTCCCTGGGTTTCCACGTGCCTCCAAAGAGACGGGTTTTCACATGTCACCTTCTCACTGAGACAGTCCCTGACCTTCTCATCAGTGGTTCCCATTAAAACCTTCCCAGTCCCATTATTTCTTAATTAAACACTGTAGGTTTTTTTGTAGCATTTATTATGATTTATAATTATTTATTACATATTTACTTGTTTCTTTATCTTTCTGTTATACTTATGAGAGTAGGACTGGAACACTTTTATTTTCCCAGATCTCTTAATTGGCAAGTATGTGTTTAATCATTTTGTTAATCTTTAATTTGAACTCATTTAGAACTTACAGAAAAGTTGTAAATGATAGTACAAAAACTTTCAAATATTCATATTTAGCAATTATCACCATGTTTTAAAATCATATTTGCACTATTATTTTCTGTTTGTATATATCCTTAAATAGTTGTGTTTTCTAAGAACAAGAACATTCTTGTTTGTAAACACAAGACAATTATCAAGACATTTAACATGGATGTGGTATTAATAATCTATATTATTATGTAGATTTTGATAGACATTTCGATAACTCTTTCATTAATGATTGTTCTATCAACTGTTTTACCAGCCCAAGATGCAATATGAGTTGCATTTAGTAGTTAGCTCATTTCTTTGGTCTCTTTAAACCTCAAACCATTTCTTAGCCTATTTTATTTTATTTTATTTTATTTTATTTTATCTTATTATTTTATTTTATATTTTATTTTATTTTATTTTATTTTATTTTATTTTATTTTATTTTATTTTATTTTATTTTATTTTAATTAGAGATGGAGTCTCTCTCCGCTGCCCAGGCTGGAGTGCAGTGGCACAATCTTGGCTCATTGCAACCTCCACCTCCTGGGCTCAAGTGATACCTCCCAAGTAGCTGGGATTACAAGCATTCACCACCATACCCAGCTAATGTTTGTATTTTTAGTAGAGATGGGGTTTCACCATGTTGGCCAGGCTGGTCTTGAACTCCTGACCTCAAGTTATCTGCCCGTGTTGGCCTCCCAAAATGCTGGGATTACAGGCATGAGCCATCGCATCTGGCCTTCTTAGCCTTTATAACCTAGACATTTTAAAAGAGGATAGAATAGGTCAGTAATATAGTAGAATGTTCCTCCATTTGCAGTTATCTGATGTTGCTACATGATTGGATTCCATGCTGCATTTTTATGAGGAATACTACATGAGAGGTGTTTCCTTCTTACTGCATTACATGAAGAGGCACATGATGTCAGATGGTCACGTTTAAATCATATTTCTTAACAGTGACTAAATGGATGGTAGAGGTTTATATTCTAGGACTTTAGAACTATCGTTTGATTGTTAGGATACCTTACAAGTAGTATTAAATAAATTGTTTAACTATAGAGAGGAGACATGAGTGTGAGTTCAGGCCTTTGGACCCCTCGTGTTAGTCTAGAGTTAGCTGTTACACACTCTTAAGTTTTCTGTATTTGAAACATATGCTTATTATTTACTGTCAAAAAGCTGTTTGAGGCCGGGTGCGGTGGCTCACGCCTGTAATCCCAGCACTTAGGGAGGCCGAGGTGAGCGGATCACGAGGTCAGGAGATAGAGACCATGGTGAAACCCCGTCTCTACTAAAAATACAAAAAATTAGCTGGGCATGGTGATGGGCACCTGTAGTCCCAGCTACTCGGGAGGCTGAGGCAGAAGAATGGTGTGAATCTGGGAGGTGGAGTGTGCAGTGAGCCGAGATCGCACCACTGCACTCCAGCCTGGGTGACAGAGCGAGACTCCGTCTCAAAAACAAAAAGCTGTTTGACTGAGTGTAGATTTTTTTTTAAAGGCATTAAAACCCTTCCATCATTCCAGTATCTGGAACAAAGGCATGGGGTGAATGAATGAATGAATGAGCAAATCAGTGTTTAAGCTTAACGTTATTTTGTCAGAGGCATGTGAACCAGAGCAATTCCATCTTGAATAGGAGCTGGGTAAAATAAGGCTGACACCTACTGGGCTGCATTCCCAGATGGTTAAGGCATTCTAAGTCACACGATGAGATCAAAGGTCAGCACAAAATACAGGTCATAAAGACTTTGCTAATAAAACAGTTTGCAGTAAAGAAGCTGGCCAAAACCCACCAAAACCAAGATGGCCACTAGAGTGGCCTCGGTCGTCCTCACTGCTACACTCTCACCAGTGCCATGACAGTTTACAAATGCCATGGCAGCGTCAGGAAGTTACCCTATATGGTCTAAAAAGAGGAAGCATGAATGATCCGCACCTTGATTAGCATATCATCAAGAAATAACCATAAAAATGGGCAACCAGCAGCCCTTGGGACTGCTTTGCCTACGGAGTAGTCATTCTTTTATTCCTCTGCCTTCTTCATAAACTTGCCTTCACTTCGCACTGTGGACTCACCCTGAATTCTTTCTTGCACAGGATCCAAGAATGGAGTCTGGATTGGAACTCCTTTCTTGTAACATCTTTCTGGTGACCATGGAAGGTACTATAATGCGGAAACCCCTGACCCAAATGCTAACTTTGGGTAAGTGGTGGGGTCCAGTAACTTCTTTCTGGAGAACCCTGAAGGGATGATACTGAGAGACCTCTCACCCAAAGGAAATAGACAGCACTGATTGGATGACTTTGGGTATATGCATACCCAGGAAAAGAATGGAATTAGGTTAGAGGCTTAACTCAGGGGAGTTAGAGTGTCTCCTAAGAGAGGGTTAAAGGCTTCTCTCAATAAAAGGCAAGGATGCTTGACTGACCTTGTGTTAGAGGCCTGATTTAGGAGGGTTGGAGTTCCTTCTAAGATTTAGGGGGTTAGAGACCCCTCTTAGTAAAGTCCCTCTTGGTAGAGTCCTTCTCGTTTAAGTCCTTCTCGGCTAAGAATAGGTTTGGCACTATGGGATGTTAACTGCTATTCTCTTTGGAATAATCTGCTTAGCACTCTTTGCTTATGACTATGGTAAGCCTAATCCTTAGGCATGTACAGGCATGTACAGGATTAGGCATGTTCAGGATCATGGGACATGGGGAACTTTTTCCTCCCTAAATGGGGAAACTTGAGAGCTATTAGGACTGCTGGAAAAGAGTCCTTCACTACTGACAAGTGGCTGCCCGAACTTTTCAGTGTTGGCTGCAATGGGGGGTCTTTCTTTGGCCTCCCTGAGTGCCTCGCTTTCCCCACTCTGCCACAGGCAATGCTCCTCTCTCTCTCTCTTTCTGCAAACTGGTTGAAAGAATGGTAAAAATCATTGTTTATTAAAGTTTTGATTAATGGGAAAAAGGATTTGTGAGGCTAATCTTAAGCTATTGTGAATTTGGTGTGTGTGTCTTTCTGTGTTCTATAGTGGAGAGGGGTACCTTAGGATAGAACACAGGCTTAGGACACCTGTAAGCCCACTTTTCAAGATAGCCCAGCAAACTGGTCAGTTAAAAACTTTGCTGCAGTTCCCTGAAAAAACTGGATGAGGTTTCCTTCTTGTCTTGTATGTCCTTGGGAGCTTGACCTTGTAACCATGTGGCCATGCTTTCTCTTTTCACAATGGCGGCCTGCATTTAGGGTTCAATTCCTGGTTTAGAGATGAGTCCTTTATCTTCTGTCAGTATGTATATGTATATATGTTGTGTGTGTGATATAAAAGAGCTTTGATTAATTGGCTTAAAAATAAGAGCTTAAATCAAATATTTTGTTAGAAAAGTAAAAAGAGTAATGCTTTTTAGTTCATGTGACTTAAGTAATCTTTAGGAAATAAAGACAGTTTTAAAGATTATTGGTAAAATAAAAATATCTTCAAAAATGTAAACATTTGGTCTAAGTTATGCAGTTTCGATATTAGGTTTGCTAAATGCTTTAAGGTCATAAACTGCTTCTTTGACTTTTGAAAATTGTTCAATTTACCTACCTTGGAGCATTAAATTCTAGATAAAGCCTGGGGACATGTGGAGTTAGCCACGCTGTCTAGCTATGCTGGATTCAGCCCTTATCTGCACTTCTGCCTGGTGTGTCCTAGGATAGGCTCCACACCTAGTACATAATTAAAATCGCTTACTAACCAGGATTTTCACCAAAAGTAAAAGTCACTAAGAGTTAACAGTGTAATGTGTATTTGAGACTCCTAAAGAAACAGTTTTACATGCAAAGTGTGTAAGAAAAGTGAAATGTGTTTTTGGAAATGACTATGGAAAGGCATGGGAATGTGGATTTTTCTTGCCTAAATTAAAGGGTTAAAGGATTGTTTTAACCTATATATGCCTAGTGTTCCATTATTGGAACGCTGAGCTTGTGGCAGTTATTTATATCCTACTGCTCAAGGTCAACACCAAGGTCTGATTTTCCCCCCAAAATTTGTAACCTTCAGCATAAATGAGTTAAGTTAAATAGGATAAAGCTGAAGGTTTAAGCAAGTTATAGAAGGTTTGTGAGAAGTTAATTATAAAAGAAATTCTGTGTGTGAATATATTGGCTAAAGTTAAAGTGCCATTATTCAGTTTTTCTGTTATTGAATTTTGCAATAAAAGCACAACAGGTTTTTCTTAAAGCAAAAACCTGCTTATAATCTGCTCTTTAACAAAACTTATAAAGGGTTATAAAAGGTTTATGAGAATCTTACCTTAGGGTCAAACGAATTAAGATTAAATTTGTCTATAAGGTTTTATTAAGAATTGGGTTTGACATCAATAATGCACTAATGCAACAGTGACATTTGGCTTATTTGGTATAAAAATCATGCAGGTAGCATTGTCAAATGTAAAATAGTGTTTGCTTTCTTTGGGCTGTATTTGTATAAATGTACTATTGATATGTGTTGAAAATTATAGGAAACTCCTATAATTCTGATATAACTTAGTGTATATTAATAATAATAATTGTTACATAAAATCATTGTGTGCCACAGAGGTAACCAAAATTTGTCAATTGTGTTTTTGACTGGGGCTGTCCTAGAATGTTTTGCCATCCACAGACAACTGTGTTGTCTTGTTTTGGTCCTCTTTACAAGATGGTTTATAGTCAGGTATAGGACTTCGACAGGTGCATTTAAATGCAGGTTTCTGATAACTTTGGAAATTGTGACATTAGAATAAAGGAAACAACTTTCAGGACTCTCATTGATAGCTGAAATGTTCATGAATATCAAACAGGAGTTAAATACATAAACTAAACTAAAGAAATCTGAAGTAATCTTTTTACCTTTTTGCTTAAAATGCTGCTGATACTTTGTTCTGTTTTTCAGAGTTGAGAAAACTTTTCTTTTGAGCTATTTACAGCTTGTAGCAATTGAGTAAAGTATACTCAAGAACAAAATTTGGAGCATATTTGTTTCTCTCTACCTGATTTGTCCATAATTTAGAAACTATTTGTGAGTATCCTTAATTTATGGCAATGTAGTTATTTGCGTAAGTGCAATAAGAATCTGATTCCTTTTATAACAGGACACAATAGGAAAAACTGGTTATTTTACCAAGGCTTTGGCTGGAATGGCATGCTTTCCTTTAAGGAATCAAATTTGACTTGTAGAGCCAATAAAAGCCCTTTGGGGAAATGTCTCATACCTTGTCTCCACAGTTCCTGTACAGGGTTTCTGACTTGTGGTAAGTAAAGAATGCCACTTTCTAACAAGTCCAGGAGCCCAAAGTTATCCTGGGACCTCATAAGGAGAGGAATTTACTCAACTCATAGGTATTTGATGGTACAAACCCATGGCTGTGCTCAGCTTTAAAAAAGTCTTAATTGAGATTGCTTCTATGGAACAGAGTTCCATCAAAGCCAATTTAAAAAGAGCTTATGTGAAAAATAATTATTCTTGCTACACTTCATACAAATAAAATGGCCAAGTGTAATAAAGCAAATCAATCTTACCGTGATTTGTCTTTAGTAAAGATGGAAAATTGGAGATAGAAATATTATGTTTTAAGAACTGTGGTACACATTATTAAATTCTAGTCTCATCAGTTGATTTTAAGTTTGTTTCTTCAATTTAGGCTAATGTTACTTATTCCTGTGAACCATCCAGTAATCTCTGACAGCAGCTCAAAAGAAACAAGAGAGATGGGTAATGTAAAAATCTGGATCAGTATTCTAATCGTGGCCACATATTGGAATCATGTAGCAACCCCATATCAGCTTGGTTCCAACAGTTGTCCAATTCATGGAAAGCCTTCTAATTTAGTTTATTTGAGATAATTTTACTTATTTCACTTTACTGTTGTGGAATATTTTGCTGTTGTATTCTTGGTGTAGGAATGAAGGACAAGCTTATTAAATGTTTTTGTAAACACTTACTAATCTTTCATACAGCACCTTTTGTCAAAACTCAGAGTTATGAATGACCCTCACCATACTGATGCTTTCTGACTGAGCTCCTCTCTACCTTGAATACAAGAGACCCTAATAGTGAGGTAGGAATATCATTGCCCCTATTCAGCCTGAAGAAGTTACAGAAGATGGATCTTCATCCCTCTGCAACCCGTAGGATTAAGGGTTCTCTTATAAAAGGGTGGGGAGGAATGTCAGAGGTGTGTGAACTGGAACAACTCCATCTTGAATAAGGGCAGGTTAAAATGAGGCTGGGACCTACCGGGCTGCATTCTCAAATGGTTATGGCATTCTAAGTCACAGGATGAGATAGAAGGTTGGCACAAAATACAGGCCATAAAGACCTTGCTGATAAAATGAGTTGCAGTAAAGAAACCAGCCAAAACCCACCAAAACCAAGATGGTGACGAGAGTGACCCTCTGGTTGTCCTCACTGCTACACACTTACCAGTGCCAAGACAGTTTACAGATGCCTTGGCAACATCAGGAAATTACCCTGTATGGTCTGAAAAGGGGAAACATGAATAATCCACCCCTTGATTAGAATATCATCAAGAAATAACCATAAAAATGAGCAACTAGCAGCCCTCTGGGCTGCTCTGTCTATCGAGTAGCCATTCTTTTATTCCTTTACTCTCTTAATAAACTTTCTTTCACTTTATGGACTCACTCTGAATTCTTTCTTGCATGAGATCCAAGAACCCTCTGTGGGAGCCTGGATCAGGTGGGACCCCTTTCCTATAACGATTTTATAATAATGTGCCAGTTTTGAAAACCGATCCTTTATTTCCATAATATGTCCTTGATAGAGTCATAATATGTCCTAGCTGGAAAGCCAACAAGCTCAGCTAACAGATGAAATAAGAGGTCCAGGATTATGGAGTGATTTGCCAAAGGTCACACACATGATGTGATTTGGATCTAAACATTTCCTCAATGATGGTCATCAGGCTTTTGGATAATCATCTTAATCCCTTCAGTAGAAAAAATCTTCTAAGTGTAGAAGCACATTTTGACATCATCTTCAAAGTTTTTTCTCTTCAAGGAGGACTGAGTAGAATCTAATAAAAATGCTTTTAATATAATGTGCCTTGATTGGAGATGGATAGTGGACTAGACAGTATTCTGCCACTGGACGTTACTCATCCTGCCTTCAGCTTAAAGGTGCTGGTGATCTTTTCAGAGCAGAATCAAAGACCATTAATGAAGTTTGATGTTTTCTTCAGTTCAGTGGAGGTGGAGTTGTAGTGACTGTTTCTTGTGATTGTTGTCTACCTAGTCAATGGCAAAGATCATGTATATCATTCTTGTGGTATCCATTTACTCTTGATACTGTTAATTTTGTAGAGCATTTTATACATTTCTAAGTCCCTCAACAAAAGCAGGATGAGAAAAACATGGAGATGGAAAACAATTTCTTTCTTAGGCAACAGGTTAAAATTCCTTTAATTACACTGTGATAGATTTTACATCTGAAAAAACCCTCCTGCTACATACATAGAGAAATGCTAGGTTAGCTACAACAAACATCCTTTTATATTAGTAGCCAAGAAAGTAAAGGAAATTCACAGAGGCTAAACTATGAAAAAAGAGAGATGTAAACAGGGCAGTGAGGGGCTCTATCCTCGGGTTCTTATGGCCTCGTAGGGAAATCAGTAACATTTATCTTTGCGTGGTATAGCATTGGTATTAGATATAAATAATTGATATTAACAGTATAAATAATAGTTGTTAAATTAGTCCAAATAGATTAAAATATATGTGTGATGTTTAATGCAATTAAGTCCGTGGTGATTACTCCTAAAGTCATGTTAGAATTCTGCAAATGCAGAATTTACAATTTTTGGTAGCTATTTTTAGATTGCAGTCTTGAATTCAGAGTGGGCTCACAAGCTGTCCACTCAATAAATCAAACTCAAATGAAATTAAAATTTGAGAAAATGAAAATTCAAAATGAATGATTCTTTTACATTTTGAAAACCCTGTATTCTGTAGGAAGGTAATGCTATTATGAAGTACCTTTTAACATTGTGACAGTTTTATGAGTCAGCTTGAATGGCCATAGGATGCCCAGATTAATTATCAGTTCTGGGTGTGTCTGTAAGGATGTTTTTAGATGAGATTAGCACTTGAATCAGTGGACTCAGTAAAGTAGATTGCCCTCTCCAGTGTGAGCAGGCACCAGTCAATCTTTTGAGGTCCTGAATAGAACAAAATGGAGAGAAAGGAGGAATTTGCCCCTGTTGCTTCTCGCCTTAAGCTGGAACATCTCATCTCATCTCATCTTCTCTGGTCCTCAAACTGGAATTTCCACTATCAGCTCCCATGGTTGTCAGGCTTTCAGACCTGGACTGAATTACAGTGCTGGCTTTCTGAGTCTCGCGCTTGCAGATGGCAGATTGTGGGACTTCTCAGGCTTCATAATTGTGTGAGCCAATTCCACTATAATAAATCTCCGTGTGTGTATCTTCTACTGGCTCTGTTTCTATTGAGTTCTCTGATTAGTACAGTAAGGATGCAAATGAAACAACCTTGTAGACATTTTGAGAAATCTGGATGGTCTCGTTTTTCTCACCTGTGAAACAAAGGAATTGAGTAGATGACTGCTTATGTATTCTGTGATTATATCTTTATTCATTCATTTATTTAATATTTATTGAGTGTTACTGTATGCGCAATGCTGGACATTTGAAGATGAATAAAATACATTTCCTTTGCTCAAAAAACGTATGTTCTAGTGAGAGAAACAATAGTAAGCAAGTAATTAACCCAATACGTTATTTAACTGGATGTATATGTAGAATTGACTGACTGAATAAACTTGAAGCAGGAGACCAGCCAGGAGATGACTACATTAGCCTAGGGTAACACTGAACGTTGAATCTTTCTATTCATTGCTGTTTACCTTAATCTAGGTTGTTAACTTGAGTGTACTCTTTTCTTAAAGTCTATAATCTTTATTAATGTATTGAATCTGGCTTGGATTTTAGATGACTTTTACCTGCTGACAGTGCTGAAGTGTTGAGGTCTTGCAATTAGCTAAATAGGTTATGCTTGATAACAAATTGATGTGAGGTTACACCAGGGAGAGAATGGGACCATGAATTTTCTGTCATTTGATTCAAGATGAAAATGATGGGAATCACACCTGAAGAGAAAGGAAGGCAACTGCAGGACTGCTGAGGGCCCCTGAGTTTTCTTAGTATCTTTTATCAAATGAAAGATATGGCAGGTGTTTTATGACATGATAGAAGGACATATCTCATTCTTTCCCACTAAGTGTTTTCTAGCTCTTTGTTCTCTGATATTTAGCTCTGTGCTTTTCTACACAGTTTTGGGGCACTAATAATATAAAGTAGAAAAGTAGAAAGTTTCTAGATCACAGAGATCATTACAGATCTCAGTGGTTGTCATCTCACATTGCATTAAAAATAAATCTCTTCCACTGAAGTTGCTATATACATTATCCTTTTTAACAATGATATATGCATTTTGAAATATGTAAAGTAAATATAGAAAGAAGTATATAAAATATTTGTAAGTTTAAAGAATAATAGTGAAAGGAACAGTTTTCTACCTACCACTCAGCTTAAGCAACTAATGTCCTGAAGCCTTCTATGGACATCTCTCTGATCTTCTCCCACTCCCCTACTGCCTCCTTCCAGTGGAAACTTGTATAATTAATTATGTGTTTGTAATTATTTGCCTTTTTTATCAGGTATAAATGCATTCAATTAATATGTTATTTTTCATTTGTGGAACTTGATATCATACTCATACACTGCCAAGACTTGCTTTTTTCACTCAACTTTATTTTTCTGAGATATAGCAATGTTGCTGTTTATCACTAAGGTATTTGCTTTTATTACCGTATTCTGTTGAAGGAAAATAACATAAAAAATCTTTTTTTGTTCTTAGTGGAAAGTCTTGTTGTTTGTAGTTTTCTTGCCATTTCAAATATTGTTGCTAAGAACATTCTTGTAACATGTCCAAATTTACAGATAACAAATATACCTAGGAGTCAAATTCTAAGGTTATATGTTATGTGTATCTTCAACTTTGTTACATAATGCCAAATGATTATCCAGGTTGGTTGTACCAATTTATACTCTTATCAGCTGCAGGTCTGTTCTTATTATGTAACAGACTATAATTTTTACCCATTTATGTAATATGTTATCTCTTCATGGTTTTAATTTTAATTTCCCTGATTACAAATGAGGTTGAAATATCTTTTCATATTTATTGATCTTTCATATTGATGGCAGCAGCGGCCCACCTGGAGTGACCGCTGCAAACACACTGGCTACAGTGGGGGAGGTGTGGCCAGGGCTGCAGCTCCATGGAGCTGGTGGGAGCTGGAAACAGGTGGAAGCCCCGCTCCCTTCCAAGTGGGCAGGTTAGGAGCCTTGCACTTCCCAGGTGAAGCTGCAGCCACCCAAGCCGTGGCTGCAGACTCAGAAATCCCTGTGCTCTTGGGGGCTGGAAGCAGGCAGGAGCCGTGCTGTCCTGGAAAACAGCTATAGCCATCCAGCCACAGCTGCAGGCGAGGCATCTTTGTGTTCTTGACGGCCTGGGAAGCCCCCCTTCCCTGCAGCTTGGAAGTGCCTGCTCCTGCTGCCTGGCCTCTCCCCACTCCTGATGCTCACTCCCATTTCAAGCAAACTTGAGGCTGAGCCTGGGTGCTGTCACAACCCAGCCATTTGGGATAATGCTAACATGCTAGACTCCTGCCGCCTCGGCCCCTCCAGACGCTGGGCACTGACAACCTCCTGTCATTGCCCAGGCTCCAGATAGGCTCCTAGGCAGAAAGGGGTGGGTCCCCTGTGAAGCCCCATCTTCAAACCAGGGAGGGCCTGAAGCCTGGGGGCCTGGCTGACGGACAAGAATGGGAACATATGATGCTTTTTCTGGGCCCACCCATGGCCACCCATGAACCAATTAGTACGCACTTCCTCTTCTTTGAAGCCTGTGAAAACTCTGAACTCAGCCAGACTCAAGTAGATGACTGAGATGACTGGATGACCTGCCTGTGGAGAGGAGTGACCCACTCCAGGGTCTCTTCTCTGCTGAGATTTGGGCAGACGTCAGGACTACCAGCTGCAGAGAGGAGCTACCCACTACAGGGTCTCCTCTCTGCTGAGAGAGGAGCACTCCAGGGTCTCCTCTGCTGAGAGTTGGGCAGATATTGGGAGTACCAGCTGCAGAGAGGAGCTACCCCCTGGGGGTCTCCTCTCCACTGAGAGCTCAATACTTGTCGGGATGCCCTGCCTGCAGATGGGAGCTACCCACTGAGGGTCTCCTCTTAGCTGTTCTGTCACTCACTAAAGCCCTTCTTTATCTTGCTCACCTTCCACTTGTCTGCATACCTCATTTTTCCTGGACACAGGACAAGAACTCAGGACCTGCCAAATGGTGGGTGGGGCTAAAAGAGCAATAACACAAACAGGGCTGAAGCATGCCCCTTGCTTGCCTTGTTGCAGGTGACAAGAAGGAGAGAAGAGAGAAGGAGAGAAAAGCTGTGGCCCCTTGGGGAGCCTATACCTAGGAGCTCACCAAGCCAGGGCTGTGACACCCTCTCTGGGGCTCTGCAGTTCCTGGCATCTTCAAGCTTCTGGGTGCCATTGTGTTCCCCAGTGCCAGCCGTGGAAGCTGCTTGTGGTACACCTGGTCCAGTCACAGCCTCACAGGGAGCCAGCACCCTTCTCAGAACCCAGAGCTAAGCACCCCACCACAGCCAGTGTGCATGGCTGTGCGCAGTGACTGCACCCCATACTCAATTGCTCACACACCCCTCACCACTCGTGCCTGGCTTGCCCTTGACAGGCATGAGAGTCAGACCAGTAGTGTGAGCTGAGCACAGTCTGCCAGTCTGAGTGGGTGGAATGAGCCCAGCAGGCTCGAGTAAAAACTTGGGCAAAGGTGCCCCTGGCCACAGAGGTTTCCAGCTGGCGAATCAACACCTGACGGATCCTGTGACAATATTCCTCCTGTGTAGAAAACATATTTATATCTGGTGGCCATTTTCTTTTCTACTGAATCCTTTTTTTCTTATTAACACTTTAGGAGTTGTTTAAATGCTTTGAATATTAATCTTTTTTTCAGTATGTGTTGTGAATGTTTTCTGCAAATTGTGGCCATTTCAAACACATGTAAAAGTAGATAGAATAGTGGTACCCACTGCTCAGCTACAACAGTATCCATTTCATCAATTCATGGTTACTCTTATTTCATCAAACAGGTACTCACAATTCACCACCTCCCTGCCAAGCAAATGCCAGACATCATATAATTTTACTGTGGCTTGTTTTTCATTTCTTCAGTGTTTCTTTTGATAAACAAAAGTTTGTAATTTTAATGCAGTTGAATTCCTAAGTTTCTTTCCTCTATGGATTGTGTGTTTCTTATTTAAGAAATTCTTCTGCAAAAGATTGTGGAGATATTTCCTAAGTTTTTGTCTAACTGTTTTAAAGCTTTACCTAGACACTAGTTATAATAGCCTTTCCCCATTCTTTCACAGATTTCTTATGCTATCTCTGGCATATCAATTTTACAAATCTGTGAGATCTGTTTCTGGGCTCTGTACTCCTGCTAATACCATATTTTATTAATCACTATACCCTTATAGTAAATTAATACTATATATTATTGTATCTATAGTATTCTTATATATTATTGTATATATAACTATATTAATAATTATTAGGGCAGGAGTTCCCAACTTTGCTCTTCAGAAACTTTGACAATTCTTGGGCTTTTGTTCTTTCATGTAAATTTTGGAATTAGATGATGAAGTTCTACCAAAAACTTTTGAGATTTTGACTGGCAATCCATGTATAGATAAATTTGTGATAAAGTTACAGATTTTATGAAATGCAAAAGTATAACACATTCACAGATTAAAATTCCCCAAATTTGAAATATTTTGGGGTTTTAATCTGTGAATGCGTTATACTTTTCAATTTATTTAGCTTTATTCCTCTTTTTATTTAGGTTTTTAATTGGCTTTTTCCTTCTCAATGAAATCTTTACCATCCAGACTATTTAAAAAGAAACGCCACCCTCTTCTAGAATATTTGTATTTTACTACCATAGTTCTTAACCTTATATTACATGTTGCTTCTCCTTGATATAAATGATAACAAAGAGTTTTATCTGCCTGATTATTTCCTGGAATAGACCCTGGTATATAGTAGGTGCTCAATAAATTAATTTTAAATAATTTTTTTCCATAAAGGTCTTTTAAATCTTGTGATAGATTTGTTCTTTGGTTTGGTGATGTGCCAGTAAATGTTTAACAATAGGTTACCTGGGGAGTGGGAGAAGCAGAACAACTTGTAGATTTGCTGATTTCCATGCTGTAAATTCTCCTACCATGGCCAATATCAAGTTATTGACATGACATCACGGAATGGGGGAGTTGAGAAGAGATGTGGAGTAGTGTGCCATTATATAGTATTCCCACTAAACAGAAACAATAGATGCCAGTAACCTCAACAATGTAAATAATTGCAAAATGTAATAATAATTATTAGTAATTATAAGTTTATATAATTTAATTTTAAATTATGATCATATTTAACAACTGGCTCACAAAATTCTTAAAAATTTAACAGCGACTTCTTGCGAGCTGTACAAACTGGATCCAGAATTCCACTGTTTAGTTTCTTTATGTTTTTGTGCGACTGTTATAAATATATTTCCTTATATAAGCTTTCTAACAATTTCTTCTTGATTTATAGGAATGCAGCTAACTTTTATATTTGTTCTTACATCTGGCAAACAGGCTAAAATTTCTTCATAATTTGAATAATTTATATGTACATCTTTCCAGGTTTCTTTGTGGACTGTTCTATCATCTGAAAAATGACAGTTTTGTTTCTTCACTTCCAATCCTTATACACTTTATATCTTATTCCTGTATTATTGCATTGACATGAACTTCCAGTATAATGTTTAATGTTAGTGGTAATGAAAAGCATCCTTGTATTGCTTCTGATTTTAAATGAGTGCTTTAAGATTTTATGTTTCTTTTTGATATTGTCCTTGTTGGACAAAATAAGTTTTCTTTTATTTATAGTTAGATAAAAATTTGTTTTTATTATTCATGAGTGGGTGTCAGATTTCATAGCATGATTATTCTCTATTCATTGAGATGGTCATATACTATATAACGAAGATGTTCAACATACCAAGAATAGTTTGTGGCTTGCTTAATAACATAGTGTCAAAATGCAAAAAGCAATGATTGACAGAAGTAAATGGCAATGAAAAAATAAGCACATGGAAAAAAGAAATACATGTGAACAACATGACTAGCTACTTGATCTACTGCAAAAGTACAGAACACTCCAGTGAATGCAAAAATACATAGTATTCTTTTTTTAAATTATACTGTAAGTTTTAGGGTACATGTGCACAACATGCAGGTTTGTTACATATGTATACATGTGCCATGTTGGTGTGCTGCACCCATTAACTCGTCATTTAGCATTAGGTATATCTCCTAATGCTATCCCTCCCCCCTCCCCCCACCCCACAACAGGCCCCAGTGTGTGATGTTCCCCTTCCTTTGTCCATGTGTTCTCAGTATTCTTGAGCTACATTAATTATTTACAAAAATTAACCATTTAGCAGATCAGCTATAAAGCAATTTTCATCAAATTTCAAAGAATCTGTATCATGCATGCAATGTTCTCTGACCACAATTAAGCTGCTTGCACTACCTCTCAGTAATGTTTTCATATATGTTTTTCCTTTCCTTCCAACTTTTATTTTAGGCTTAGGAGGTACATATGCAGGTTTGTTACATGGATAAACCGCATCTGGGGTTTGGTATACACATTATTTCATTACCCAGATTGTCAGCATAGTACCCAATAGACTTCCAATCCTCAGCCTCCTGTGCCAGCATCATTCTGATACCAAAACCTGACAGAGACACAGTGAAAAAAGAAAACTTCAGACCAATATCCCTGATGAACATAGATACAAAATTCCTCAAAAAATATTAGCAAATCGAGTCCAGGAGCACAGCAAAAAGCCAATCCACCATGATCAAGTAGGGTTTATTCCTGGGATGTAAGGTTGGTTAATACAAATCAATAAATGTGATCTGTCCCATAAACAGAACTAAAAACAAAAAACCACACGATCATCTCAGTAGTCACAGAAAAGGCTTTCAAAAGCTGGAAGCATTTTCCTTGAGAACCAGAGCAAGACAGGGATACTCACTCTCATTACTCCAATTCAGCAGTTCTGGTAGTCCTAGCCAGAGCAGTCAGGCAAGAGAGAGAAATAAAAAAGTCATCCACATTGAAAGGGATTAAGTCAAACTTCTCTCTTACAGGTGATATGATTCTATACCTAGAAAACCCCATAATCTCTGCCCAAAGGCTCATAGATCTGATGTACAACTTCAGCAAAGTTTCAAGATACAAGATCAGTGTTTTAATATTCATATTTCATTTCATAAATTCCCTTTTCAGCTATGTGTAATCTGCCTTTTATCCTATTCATTTTTTTCATGTTTGATAATTACAGTTTTCAGTGTCTGAAGTTGTATTATGTTTTTGGTTTTTTTTTTTAATCTGCTGGGATTTACTTATTTATTTAAAAAAACTTAAAATCTTAATTTTTTTTTCAAATATTATTAAGCATAGTTATTGTGATGGTTAACACTGAGTGTCAACTTGACTGGATTGAAGGATACAAAGTATTGATCCTGGGTGTGTCTGTGTGGGTGTTGCCAAAAGAGATTAACATTTGAGTCAGTGGGCTGGGGAAGGCAGACCCACCCTTAATCTGGTGGGCACCATCTAATCAGCATCCAGTGAATATAAAAGAGGCAGAAAAATGTGAAAAGGAGAGACTGGCCTAGCCTCCCAGCTTACCTCTTTCTCCCATGCTGGATGCTTCCTGCCCTCCAACATCAGACTCCAGGTTCTTCAGTTTTGGGACTCGGACTGGCTCTCCTTGCTCTTCAACTTGTAGACAGCCTATTGTGGGACCTTGTGATTGTGTAAGTTAATCCTTAATAAACTACACACACACACACACACACACACACACACACACACACACACACACACTTATTAGTTCTGCCCCTCTAGGGAATCCTGAGTAATATTGATTTTGGTACCAGGAGTAGTTGTAGAGGAACAGAATATTAAGGATGGAGTTCTTTCATTGGTTTTGGGTTTCTGGAGTTGGCTTCTTAATATGATTAGACCCCAAAATGCTAAGGACTCTACTTCTAATGGTATGGAGAACACTGATTAGTCCTCAGCGTGAATTGTTTAGAGAGTTATGCAAAATAAATGCATTTGACACTCTTCTTTCACCACTTGTGAGAGGCAAGGAGTTTAGTGACTCCTTGACCGTATGTGGAGAACCAAGGAGCGTAATGAAGCTGGTGGTTGCTCCTAAGTTTAGTGGACAAAGTGATGAAAGAAAATGATGAACTCAGGGATTTTGTTTCCTGGCTTCAGAAGCAGATACTAAGCCTCAAATCTGCTAAGATTGCCCCCAGTGAGTTTTATCTTCTGTAGAGAAAGAGCTGAAATTGTGGAAAAACAGATACAAGTTCTTATCATGTGAGTGGCTGACCTGCAACGAAAGATGGATGCACAGCCTCACCAGGTGTCTACTGTTAAAGTGAGGTCATTGATTGGAAAAGAACGGGACCCTGAAACTTGGAATGGGGACATGTGGGAGGACCCTGATGAAGCTGGGGGCACTGAGTTTGTAAACGCTGATGAAACTTTTTTTGCCATAAGGAACAGCTGCCCCATCCTCCATAGTGGCAACATCCCCTCCCCGACCCATGCTGCCATCAGCCTTTCCACTTTTGAGGAGATAAACCTTGCACTGCCTGAGACAACAGTGATGGCCTCCCTGAGCCTGTTTCCAGGCAAAATAATGTTGATTCTCCTCAGAAGTCACCCCCAACACCCCTATTTGCTTCTGGACCTATAACTAGACTAAAGTCCCAGTGGGCCCCTGGAAGTGAGGTTGAGAGTGTGACCCATGAGGAGGAGCACTACACTTGAAAATAACTGTTTGAGTTCTCTAGTTTATATAAACAGAAATCTGGAGAACAGGCATGGGAATGGATATTAAGGGTTTGGAATAATGGTGGAAGGAACATAGAGTTGGATCGGGCTGAATTTATTGATTTGGGCCCGCTAAGTAGGGACTCTGCATTTAGTGTTGCAGCTCAGGGAGTTAAAAAAGGTTCTAATAGTTTACTTTGTTAGCTGAAAAGATGGCCTGCTGTGAGTGAGCTGGAAATGCCTGCCCTCCCTTGTTTTAATGTAGAGGAAGGAATCCAAAGGCTTAGGGAGATTGGGATGGTGGAGTGGATTAATCACTTTAAACGTACTCATCCCAGCTGGGAAGGTCCAGAAGATATACTGTTGACCAATGCCTTGTGAAACAGATTTGTGAGAGCAGCACCTGTGTCTTTGAAGAGCCCTGTAATTGCTCTTCTTGAGGTGTCAGTGGCAGATAGGGATGCTGTTTGGAGCCTTTGGCAGGCCCCCACAGGTGAATCACACCAGTGTCATCTAGGATTTTGGAGCAAGGCCCTGCCATTCTTCTGCAGATAACTGCTCTCCTTTTGAGAGACAGCTCTTGGCCTGTTTCTGGGCTTTGGTGGAAACTGAACGTTTGACCATGGATCATCAAGTCACCATGCAACCTGAATGAACTGGGTGCTTTCTGACCCATCCTGCCATAATGTGGAGAATGCGCAACAGCATTCCACCATCAAATGGAAGTGGTATATACGTGATAGGGCTCAAGTAGGTCCTGAAGGCACAAGTAAGTTACATGAGGAAGTGGCTCAAATGCCCATGGTCTCCACTCCTGCCACCCTGCCTTCTCTCCCTCAGCCTGCACAGATGGCTTCATGGGGAGTTCTCTATGATCAGTTGACAGAGGAAGAGAAGACTAGGGGCTGACTCATAGATGGCTTTGCATGATACACAGGCACCAACTGAAAGTGGACAGCTGCAGCACTACAGCCCCTTTCTAGGACGTCCCTGAAGGTCAACAGTGAAGGGAAATCTTCCCAGTGGGCAGAACTTTGAGCAGTGCACCTGGTTGTGCACTTTGCATGAAAGGAGAAATGGCCAGATGTGCAGTTATATACTGATTCATGGGCTGTAGCCAATGGTTTAGAACTTGGAAGAAGCATGGTCAGGGACTGGGAAGAAGCATGACTGGAAAATTGGTGACAAAGAAATTTGGGGAAGAGATATGTGGATGGAACTCTCTGAGTGGTTAGAAACTGTGAAGATATTTGCATCCCATGTGAGTACTCACCAACAGGTGACCTCAGCAGAGGAGGATTTTAATAATGAAGTGGCTAGGATGACCCATTCTGTGGACACCACTCAACCTCTTTCCCCAGTCACCCCTGTCATTGCCCAATGGGTCCATGAACAAAGTGGCCATGATGGCAGGGATGGAGGTTACACATGGGCTCAGCAACAACGACTTCCACTCACCAAGGCTGACCTGGTTACAGCCACTGCTGAGTGCCCAATTTGCCAGCAGTAGAGACCAACACTGAGCCCTTGATATGGCACCATTCTTCGGGGTGATCAGCCAGCTAGTTACCTGGTAGTAGGTTGACTATATTGGACCTCTTTCATCATGGAAAGGTTTGTCCTCGCTAGAATAGACATTTACTCCGGATATGGGTTTACCTATCCTGCATGCAATGCTCCAAGACTACCATCCGTGGACTCACGGAATGCCTTATCCACCATCATGGTATTCCACACAGCATTGCCTCTGACCAAGGTACTCACTTTACGGCTAAAGAAGTGCAGCAGTGGCCGGGCACAGTGATTCACGCTTCTAATCTCAGGACTTTGGGAGGCTTGAGGCGGTTGGATCACGAGGTCAGGAGTTCAAGACCAGCCTGGCCAACATGGTGAAACCCTGTCTCTACTAAAAATAGAAAAATTAGCCAAGCGTGGTGGCGGGCATCTGTAATCCCAGCCACTAGGGAGGCTGAGGCAGGAGAATCCCTTGAACCTGAGAGGCGGAAATTGCAGTGAGCCGAGATCGTGCCTCTGCACTCCAGCCTGGGCGACCGTGCGAGACTCAAAAAGTGCAGCAGTGAACTCATGCTAATAGAATTCACTGGTCTTACCATGTTCCCCATCATCCTAAAGCAGCTGGATTGATAGAACAGTGGAATGGCTTTTGATTGATAGAATGGTGGAATGGCCTTTGAGGTCAGAATTACAACATGAACTAGGTGACGATAATTTGCAGGGTTGGGGCAAAGTTCTCCAGAAGGCCAAGTATGTTCTGAATCAGCGTTCAATATATGGTACTATTTCTCGCATATCCCTGAATAACAGGTCCAGGAATCAAGGGGTGGAAGTGGAAGTGGCACCACTCACTGTCACCCCAGTGATCCACTCGCAAAATTTTTGCTCCCTGTTCAAGTTACATTCTGCTGGGCTAGAGGTCTTAGTTCCAGAGGGAGGAACACTGCCACCAGGAGACACAACAACAATTCCATTAAACTGCAAGTTAAGATTGCCACCTGGACACTTTGGGCTCCTCCTGCCTTTAAGTCAACAGACTAACAAGGGAGTTTCAGTGTTGGCTGGGGTGATTGACCTGGACTATCAAGATGAAATCAGTCTACCACTCCATATTGGAGGTTAGGAAGAGCATGCATGGAATATAGGTGATCCATTAGGGCATCTCTTAGTATTACCATGCCCTGTGATTAAGGTCAATGGGAAACTAAAACAGCCCAAATCAGGCAGGACTACAAATGACCCAGACACTTCAGGAATGGAGGTTTGGGTCACTTCACCAGGGAAAAAAACCACGACCTGCCAAGGTGCTTGCTGAAGGCAAAGGGAATACAGAATGGGTAGTAGAAGAAGGTAGTCATCAATACCAGCTATGACCATGTGACCAGCTACGGAAATGAGGACTGTAACTGTCATGAGTTTATTTCCTCCTTTTTTTGTTAAAAACGTGTTTGTGCATGTATAGACTTGCACTAAGAAAATATCTTCATTTTATTTCCTTTTCCTTTATCATATGACATAAGATTTATTGACTTCATATTAGCATTTAAGTATCACTACCTTTATGTAATAGTATTTTTGGGTTGGGGATTGATGTGTTTCCAGTTGTATGAAGGATAATTGTATTATGTTAGGCATAATTATGACCTCATTATTGTCTTTATTTGAAGATTATGTATGATCTTAAGAGATGTGTATGGATCCAAGTTGACACGGGGGTGAACTTGTGATGGTTAATACTGAGTATCAACTTGATTGGATTGAGGGATACAAAGTATTAATCCTGGATGTGTCTGTATGGGTGTTGCCGAAATAGATTAATATTTTAGTGTATATATGTGTGTGTGTGTATATATATATAGTTCTATTAGTTCTGTCCTTCTAGATTGCCCCGACTAATATAGTTATATTAGATATCTGCTAAATGCAGTGTCAGCAGTCTTTGATTCTGTTATTTTTTGCTCTCTGCATTCAGGTTGCTTATTTCCTCTTGTGTTTGATTGTATTTGCATTTGAGCTCATAATCCATGGGATTTTATCTGTAGGAATTCTTTGAACTTCACATTTAAAGTGCTTTACTGCAGAGAGAATTTGAGTTTGCTTTGTCTAAAACTGTAGGCTGTGGCAACCTTGGATTACTAGATATTAATATTTTGGCTTGGATTTTTTTGACCACACAGATCCTGTGAATTTAGCCCCCAAATCACCTACCTTCATCCATATTCAAGACAAAGAGATTGTTTTTCTCTTAGTTTGTTCTGTAGGGTGTATTTTATTTTCTAGTTCACTATTTCATAGAAGGTATTGCTTTTTAAAAAATTCTTGCTTTGTAAGGAGTCAATAATTTTACCAGCTAAATTGAATAGTCCATAGACTTTGCATCTAATCCTTTATATGACTGTAGACCATAAAACCCAAAATGGTAGGCCCTTAGAGAAAAATCCCCAATTGGTCAAGATGTATCATTTGTTTTATATATTACTGGATATAGTTGGCTGATATTTTGTTTAGGATTTTTGCATTTATGTTCATAAGTGAAACTGAGTTGAAATTTTCCTTTTGCACCAATTTATTGTTAGAATGTAATACCAAGGTTATACTGACCTAAAATAAGTTGAGAAAAGTTCCCTCTTTATCTGTTCACTGGAAGAGTGTACAAAGTTGGCTTTGTTTTCCTGTTAAATATTTGGTAGTATTTTCCAGTGAAGCTACCTGGGCCTGAAATATTTTGGGAAAAATTTTTAAATCACAGATTTACTTTATAAAATTATTAAAACTATTGAAATTATTGAAATTTTTTGTTTATTGTGTCAATTTTGTTGTATTTTAGAAATTTATCCATTTTCTTTACATTTTCAAATTCCTTATCACACGTTACAGTACACTCTTATAGTTAGAGATTTTGTAGTGATGTCCCTCTTTCATTTCTAACATTATTACTTTTCTTTTTCCCTTTTATTCTTCATTCATCTTGCCAAGGGATTATCGATTTTACAATCATTTTCAAGATCCAAATTTTAGCTTCATTGATCCTTTCTAAGTTTTGTTTGTTTTCTATTTCTTTGATTTCTGTTCTTATCTTTGCCATCTCTCTTTTTTCACTTTATTTGCATTTGTTTTACTGTTATTTTTGTAAATTTTTGAGATGGATTTAGCTCATTAATTTTCAAGTTTTTCTTCCATTCCATTATATTAAAGGTTAAACATTTTCCTATATACTTTAATAACAGCTTTAGCTGAATCTGGTAAATTTTTCTGTGTACTATCATATGCAAATATTTTTTTGGCTACTATGGATCAAAATGGTTTGCAGTGCACAAAATAAAGGGCAGAACTGAGGCTACAACTAAATAAATAGTATATGTTTCAGAGTATGTTCAACTCCTAGTAAGTTAGCATATCCATTGCGTGAGAGTATTTTTAGCGTGATAGAGTAATACCGTTGGCCAAGACAGCGTGGGTGTATTTGTCACACTAGGTGTCATTGACTGTGAATATATGTGAGTATTCAGAACAAGAGAAATACAAACACGTACTGGACAGAGTATTTCTTTAAGATAAAAGAAAGCTTTTGGAAATATAGTATTATAACAAATCAGTACTTCAAGGGAGTGGCATTTAATGCTGTAATCATTTTTGTCATTATATAACTATAATTCTCACTACTTTTTTATATTTATATAGCAGGTATTAGGAAATATGTCTGAAATGTTGGATAATTCTATCCTAGTTTAAAAGGTGGTCAAGAAATGCCTGGGTTACAGCAATTCCATTACTGGGTATATACCCAAAGGAATATAAATCATTCTACTGCAAAGACACATGCACACGTATGTTTACTGCAGCACTATTTACATTAGCAAAGTCACAGAACCAACCCAAATGCCCATCAATGATAGACTGGATAAAGCAAATATGGTACATATACACCATGGAATACTACGCAGCCATAAAAAGGTATTGAGATCATGTCTTTTGCAGGGACATGGATGAAGCTGGAAGCCATCATCCTCAGCAAACTAACACAGGAACAGAAAACCAAACACCACATGTTCTCACTCATAAGTGGGAGCTGAACGATGAGAACACATGGACACAGGGAGGGGAACATCACACACCCAGGGCCTGTTGGGTGGTGGGGGGCGAGGGGAAGGAACTTAGAGGATGGGTCAATAGGTACTGCAGACCACCATGGCACAGGTATACCTATGTAACAAACCTGCACATTCTGCATGTGTATCCCAGAACTTCAAGTAAAATAAAAAACATTAAAAAAAAAAAAAAGAAATGCCTGGGTTAGTCCCTATCTATGCATTTATTTCCTTGCATGTGGGACATTATGTGAGAGCACCAAAAGACAAGTTTATGCTATATTTATGTGTTAAGATAATGATTTTTCATTAATTACAAAATCTTTTATCTAAAATTTTAATAGTCTATAAACTATTTTTATCCAGAAGACAAATGGGTTCAATCATTTTAAAAAGTGACATCAAGCATAATAATTTGTGCCCATAAAATAAAGGGCTGGGTTAGTAATAGTTTTTCAATTGGAGAGAATGGCCCGAGGAATTAACTTTAGATTCTACCACTTTGCAAATAACAGCTTTCCCAGAGCAAATAATGATTGATACTTAGTGAGTAATAAAGTTTTATTTTATTTGACAAATTTTACAGAAAAGCTAGCTGCAGTTAGTGTTTGATTCTGATTAGCCTGGGGGATCAAGGGACAGATAAGGCAAAACAATCAATAATTCACAATTCTATAGCAGAATGAAGGGAAATGAGGTGGGGCCTCTGGAAGGGTAGGAGCTCAACACGTGAGCAAAGCTATTGGGTAGTGGGGAATCCAGACTACAGTCTTTGTTTGCTAGATTGGATGTTCAGAATAGCAGAGCTTCTTTGTTTTTGAGACGGAGTCTCATTCTGTCACCCAGGCTGGAGTGCAGTGGCACAATCTTGGCTCACTGCAACCTCTGCCTCCTGGGCTTAAGTGATCCTCCTGCCCCAGCCTCCCAAGTAGCTGGGATTACAAGCGTGTACCACCACGCCTGGCTAATTTTTGCATTTTTAGAAGTGACGGGGTTTCACCATGCTGGCCAGGCTGGTCTCGAACGCCTGACCTCACGTGATCCGCCTGCCTCAGCCTCCCAAAGTGCTGGGATTACAGACATGAGACACTGTACCCGGCTAGAATAGCAGAGATTCTTAAGCAGGTCAGAACTTTAAGGGTGATGAGCAACTTCTAGGCACTGAGAAGTTGATATGGAGATGAATCTCTTTCCTCATCAGCTCTCTCGACTCTGCCTCAGTCTCTTTCTCTGCCTTGCCTTTAAAAATAAAATCTAACATTGATGAAACAAACATATGTTGTGGCATTGTGCTTGTTAGGTACATGATCTTAAGGAACTTTCAATCTGGTAGAAGAACCCTTAGGAGATCTATCGCTAATATAGTTCTAAAGAGTGATTTCTTAAACCATTTTTGTCTGTCAACTTTTGTTTCACAAAGAATGTCTTATATTCCCTTAAGTTAGGAATTTACATCAGTAAAGACTGAAGATTTAATCTTACTGACAGCCCCAAGGACATGCAAGGGCAATATCGCCCATGTCCTAGGAAGTTTAGGAGTAAGACTGATGGCAGGTATTAAGGATATTCAGATTGCAGCTCCTTCTAAATGAAAATTTATTATTTCATTATTCCTAAGACTTCATTTATTACGATCCTTGGGATTTGAGATAATTGAAGACAACAATAATAATCTCTTTATGTGTTACATAGTATGGAGTCATTCATTTTGAAACATTTCCAAGTGTGTTGCCAACTGCATATAAAATTCAGAGTGGGAAGCTCAGGAATGGTGAAGGAAATGTGTATAGACATACACATGGATGCCCTTGAAGTCCTGAGAGGACCTTGTGGCCTCAAAATATGATAAATCCTGTAGCATGTTTGACATGTTGTAAACCCTCCTCCAACTCATAGTAGCCATGGTAATTTGATGTGAGAGGGAGGATACTAATAATAATAATGACAGTAATAATAATAGACGATATCCACATCTGTTCTACTGAACAACAGTAGCAAAAACTATACTATGTATATATGCAAGAAATGTCAGACTTCCTTTCATTTCTCAAGAATAAATGAATAATAAAATATACTTGAAGCCCAAAAGTATATAATTAAAAATTATTGTGAAACTAGGTTCTGACAAGACTAATGTTGTAAGGGAAATTGTACATTATATATTCTTTCACTAAATATTTCCTGTCCTGTCAAATGGTAAATCAGGCAACCATTTAAAGGCATCTATTTAAATTAGCCATGATCAAATTATATGACAGTGGAAATCACACCATCTTGATAAAGAAATTGAGATGCATAAAATGGTAACGAGACTGTGTGAATAGGGGCAGTGCTAAGAGAGAGGTGGGAATTTGTCTTCTCAATGGCCATGTCTCACATGCACCCTATTCATTATTGAAAGTTACCCCACTCATTATTCAAAGTACAAGCTAATGAACTTAAGTATATAATAACAACTTCAAAAGGAATCATATGGGCTTAACCATCATTATGCAATTTGTCAATACGATTTTAAAAACCTGTATGCAGTGGGCAAGTCAACATGATGCATTAAATAAGGGCACTATCTCTGGGTCAGTAAGGTCTGGGTTCATATACCAGCTCTACTCCTCAGTCATGTGCAATATTGGTAAGCTATTTCATTTCTTTAAGTTTTAGTTTTCTTATCAAATACAAAGATGATAATAGTACCTATAGTTGATAGGGTTATCATGTAGATTAAATATGTGTGGCACATAATAAAACAATACATATTAGCAATGCTGACAAATTTGAGGAAGATCTTTATCTCATTGAATAACTAGGTTTCTTCAAAGTATTCTATTTTTAGCTTCAGTACTATTGGGCTTGTTCGCCCTTTCCCACCTTCTTTGACCAAAAAGAGGCCATATCTCATGACTTTTCTGGCATCTTTTAGGTATAAATACATTTATTTATCTGGTTACTTTTAGTGCCCCCAGAGCAGTCTCAATCCAGTCCAGGGCAATAATCCAGCCTCCCAATGCACTGGCTCCTGCAGAAAAGAAAGAACAAGGAGGGTAAGGAACAGGAGAAGTCATAATTGAGTGTGGCAGTCACAGACAGCCCCTCAGGGACACTCCAGGCAGTTGTGGGTGTTTTTGTGGGTTCTTTGGAGACCTTCTGTAGTGTTGCTGGGAATCTCTCTCCTGAGTTCCGTGATGTGGGTGAATAAACCTCTTTGGCTGGTCACTTATGTTTCTACCCTCATTTCCCAGACACTGCTGGTGTCTCTACCCTGTCTCAAGGACCCTCGGGCAGCATTTAAGGCAACAACTGCTGGCCCTGTCAAGTGTGGCCCACGTCTGACCCAGGGGAAATAGTCCCATGCCCTTTGCCCCACACATTGTGTAATTGCTTTCTTCCCCCAGTGCAGGGACCACTCTTGGCAATGTTGTCAGAGCAGGTTGCCAGACAGTCTCTTCCGCTTTAGATTTCTCAGGTGTAGGCTCACTTTCATTCTAGGGGACACATATGAGTCTCTCTGATATCCCTTTCCTTGGGCATGAGGTGCAGAAAATTACTCCCTGCCCCCAAGGAATACCACGAACTGTTATAACTTCACACCTCTCCTCCCAGTCTTTCCAACCTTAGAGGTGGTGTCCAGGTCAGGGTGCAAAAGTTCTTGATCACCTCCTTTAAGGTCTTTTTTGGTGGTCCCTGACACCAACTGGGTGTCCTACAATTCAGTTCACTTCTGACACTACTGTGAGTTTGTGCAGACACCACAGGTTAAGAAGCTCAGTCTCATACACTTGCCTTCCCTTCAGATGCGAGCTGGACATCCTAGGTCCCCATGCTACCTGCTCTTCTGCTCAATTTGACTATAAATATGGAAGTTCCCATCAGGTTCAAAAATTTGTTAGAATTGATTCAAGACTTAGGAAAGCGCTGTAGTTACTATAGTTACAATGATATTTTATTATAAAGGTTACAAATGACCAGCCAGATGAAGAGATACTCAGCGCAGCAAGGTCTGGAGGGGTCCTGGGTACAGAGCTTCTGTGCCCTCTCCAACTGGTCTTTCTAGCATATCAATATGTTCACCAACCAGTAAGCTCTCCAAGCCTTATTGCTGAGAGTTTTTATCTAGGTTTCATTTTATGGATATAATTGGTTAAATCATTGGCCATGTGATTGATCTCAATCTCTAGTCCCCTTCCTCTGCCCAGAAATTGGGAAGGTGAAAGTTCCAACCCCCTAATTACATAATTTGTTTTTCTGGCAGCCAGCCTCCCCACCCCACATCCATGAACCACTTTGCTGGCATAAATTCAGGTATGGTCCAAAGGGGTTTGTATGAATAATAAAAGACACTCTTATCATTAAGGAAATTCCAAGGGTTTATGAAACACTGTGCCAAGAACTCGGGACAAAGGCCAAATGTACTTTTAAAAATTATACCACAAACATGGAATTTGGGAGTGGTTGGTACCTATCCAAGGGCCTTAGTCAAAAGTGAGAGGAAGAATATTATTTTAACATCTTATTATAGAATGAAAATGCAACAGAACTATTGCAACATGAATGTTAGTTCAGATGGGGCAAATACAACTTTTAAATTTGGGTGTGATTAGTTTTAAATGTTCTTGGAAGTTTTTTGCACCAGGTTAGGTAATTGTAAGTGAAAAGAAGTGACGCAGATCAAAGAAATTGTTGAAAAATTGCATCCCTGATAACTAGTGACATATTTTTAATGTGAGTTATATACACCCTGGAGGTACTGCCGTTAGTGAACCAATTTAGTTGGAGATCCCCTGGGTATCAAAGTCATAAGAGCAATGGCGTATATTGAGAAGGATATTTTCCTATTTTGGAAGGTTTGTACTTACAATCTATGTGCTTATAAATCTTTATCGAGGATTGGAAAGGAATAACTTATCTAGTAATTTCTAAATTTTCAGAAATGTTTGAGGGAACTAAAATGCTTTGAATTTGAAGAACACCTTGGGGTCGTATTGAGACTTCTTGAAAGGCTGCTCTTTTTTATAATCCTGAAATAGATTATATTGCAAATCCCCCTGAATATATGAACAATCGGTTTTGAAATTCAACTGAACTGTGTCACAGTGTTAGTTATGATCATTGTGAAAGCTGCACGGAGAGGTTATCTTAAAACCCACATGGCACATTTCAAAACAGATGTCTCATAAATAAAATTTGAAAACTTTGGATTTTTTGCAAACTGTGTTTTAAATATCAGAAGTACATTGTTCTCATTTGGAGCACAACTTTCCTTTAGGTTTTTGCCTTATTTGTTAGGTTGTATGTGACAATGATACTTTCCTTATGGATACCAATAGGATTATTTTTTTTTCAATTTTTTTTTTCTTCCTCATCTTCATTTTCTTTTTTTTTTAAATTATACTTTAAGTTCTAGGGTACATGTGCACAACATGCAGGTTTGTTACATATGTATACATGTTCCATGTTGGTATGTTGCACCCATTAACTCATCATTTACATTAGGTATGTCTCCTAATGCTATCCCTCCCCACCTTCCCCACCCCACGACAGGCCCCGGTGTATAGACTGGTCTTATTCTAAAAGAATGTCCATGTCCCCAAATACTGGAATAGTATCAGACTAGCCACGGCCATAAACTCACCTCAGTGTTAATCCTACTCAGAATTTTTTAGATTTATTACATGTTTATTACTTTCTTCCTTTATAATAGGTAGGCAATGGATGATCACAATTAAACTGTTAACCTAGAAAACATTTTAGATAAGAAAAGTATAAAAGTTCTGTGATGCAAACTCTATTTTATTTAAAAAAACTCTGTAAAACCTGTATAATTAGCAGGAAGCTCCTTTTTCTGTTAAAGCTAAGAAGAGATAGGAGAATGCAGATTAGATAAAATTGTATCAAATAAAAATTTTGTACATCTGTACTGATTATTTATGTTTAGGACATTTTTCATGAAAATAAAAACATGCTATGGCAAGAAAAAAACATGTAGCTGTTGGAAACAGTTACCCAGGAAATGTTCTTTTAAAATATATATCTCTTACAATACACTTAAAATCACTTTGATTGTAATGAAAATAATACAAATTCACTGTAGCATATTAAACATATGGATAGGCAAAAATCAACCTTAGGAAAAATAATCAGTGAATAAAAGCATGGACTGTGGAGCCAGAATACTTGAGTTCAAGTCCTGATATGTCCATTTACTAGCTGTGTGGCATCAGGTAGGTGTGCCGCTCTTTTTGTGTCTCCATTTTCCTCATTTGTAAAGTGGTAATAATATCATTTTCTTATAGGGTTAAAATCAAGATTAAATTAGTTAATATTTGTAAAGTGCTTAGAACAGTATCTTAAACATATTGAATACTATACAGATGTATTGTGAATAAGATATACACAGTCTCTTTAAGTAAAAATTTTACCCTATACGTCTTGCACCTACTTTTTTAACTTTGTATATTATAATTATTTTCCACATCTTTAACATTTTATTATTAAAAGCTTAAAGCATTTTATTGTATATTTCTACCAACAATTATATAAACTGTTACACTTTCAGCTTGTTTTCAGCTTTTTATTCTTTTAAACACTCAGCATAATTGTTATATCTAAGTTTGTAGCAGTTATAATTTTAGAATAAATTACAAGAAGTGGAATTACAAGTATATAGATGCATACGTATTTTTTAATTAAAATTTTACATCTATATTTAACAGTTTTCTCTTCTTTTCCTTTTTTTCTTTTTAATTTAGAGATACGTTCTTGCTCTGTCACCCAGCCTGGAGTTCAGTGGCATAATCATAGCTTACTGCAGCCTTGAACTCCTGGGTTCTTCCTGAGTAGCTTAGACCATAGGCACACACCACTGCACTCCATTGTATACACATTTGAAAGCATTTTTTAAATATATTAACAAATTGCTTTTTGTAATGTGCCACTGATGTTCTTCCCAGCATCAGAGGATGAGGGACATTGACACACTTTTCCAAACCTCTTTTCTCAAACTACTTGTTTATATTATGTTGGGAAAGGTGCTCCCAATAAAAACTTTCTCATTTGTCAAATTAACATTTTAACTTTTATTTTAATCTCTTTTCTAGAGAGTGTTTTAAAGTTTTAATTATATGTACTTGAACAGAGTTTTGAAAGGAGTTTTGTAAAATTAATAGTAATTATGGGTGTTAGAATATAGCTTTGAAAAAAATGTGTCAACTTTGGAAGGTAGCAAGAACTTGACTCTCTCTTTTGTATTTTAACATAAATTATACATTTGTGGGAAAGTGGGTGACTTGGGAGGAAAAACCAGTAATAGGCTGCCCATTACACCTGATAACAATTACTACTATGAACCTTCTGTGCTAGGCACTGTGATAGTGTGTGTATCTCTCTCTCTCTCTGTCTCTCTGTCTTTCTCTGTGTATAACATATATTTTATGTATTTTCAAATCTTCGTATTGATATATTAACCTTATGGGACAGGCTATATTATTACCCAGTTTTACAGATGAAGAAACTGAGGCACAGAGAGGCCTTTTATTCAGAACAGATGTGAGCAGGCACCCACCTATATGTAGGGAAAAGAAATGATTACCTGAGCTCTGATCACAGCAAGTCTCATGCCTTTGAGTTGTCACTGACTCTCTCAGAGAAAGCCAGAGATCTCCACCTTATTTGTGCTTAATGACCTTCGGAAAGAAACTGCCTTAAATGATGGCTGTCTTCCATTTGTGTAACTTTAAAAGTTATATTTTACTTTGAGGTGTTGAATCTGAGAGGTGGCTATGTTTTGTGAACTTCAGCTCCCTTTAGAAAAGGAAGCAGTGTATCTAAATTGCCCAGTTGCTAAGCGGGTCTTATGAATAAGTCATTTATTCAGGAAAAATGTCTTGATCACCTACTATGTGTCAGTCATGGTCCCGTGAATTTCTGGGGTTACATGATTAAGATAGCAGCCCTGCCCTTAAGGAACTTGTAGTGGGAGACAAATAATATACAAACACGTAAAATAATGACAGACTGGGTATAAATGCTATGAGGAGATAGCAGCATGATATGATAGAGTAACTGTTCTGTGAATACCCAAAAACCGCAAGCACATACCATTTCTGTCTCTGAAAGGGAGTGAAAGGTTTGTCTCTCTGAGTTAGCATATAGTGGCAGAGCATTTTACAGAGGTCCTGAGAGAAAATTTGCCATAGAAAGTCTGTGCTATGATTTTTTTGAAAAAAAAATATAGGAAATATGTGGCCAGCTAATTGATAAGAAAACAATATTTCTCAAAAAAAAAAAAGAATATGTCATTTGTTATTTAAATTGTTGAGGGACAACCCAAAGAACACCATTCAAAGTTTCTGTCTAGATTCTGGCTCTGTTCTGCCACATTGATAAGTTGTGTGGCTCTGGGGGAACCATATACTTCTGTTGCTTGATTTATTTATCTAGAAATAGAAAAAATATGTATGTCAGGATATAACTTAATAACAAACCCTGTGTAAAGCTGATTTCTTCTGTATGAAATGGTGTTTATGTGTAAAGCACTGGTGATTATATCCAGTTACCTAATACCCGTACAGGCTTCAATTCACAAAGTCAGGATTTCACCAGTTTTCCCAATTTTATTTAACCAAGAGTATTCTCTGTAAAAGTGAATTATTGCTGAAGCATTTTTAAATTCCAGCTATGTTAATAAGAAGCCATTTGAGAGCAGCTGTGCTTCATTGTTTATTTTTATTCAATATTTAATTTGGAAAAAATAATAGAGAGATGTAGAAAATAGATTTTTTTTTTTCTGGGACAATCATCATACATGTTATTGACATCAGAGAGTGGGCAATTTAACCTTCTCAAAAATAATATATTCGCTAAGAATCTCAGCAGCCTCAGGTCAAAAATGAAAGCTTACGTATATCACAAGGGATAGTCAAATCAGTATGAAAAAGTCTGAAACCTGTATTTTCTGGCTGAACATGATCTTCTGTAATCACAATAGAAAGCTATTTCACCAGGTGTTACCCAGGAAGGGATTGGTAGGTGATATTACCTGGATCAATTTTTCTATGCTGTGAATACCAATGTAATCATTTTCTCAGGTTTTTGTATTTTTCTTCAATATCCATTTAAAAATGAACCAAATACTGCTTCTTGTTCTACTGTAGTTCTTCCATGGCACTGTTTCAAGCAGTTAACAAATTTCATATGCTGAAGGAGTAAAAGTTACCTTGGTGACTTAAGAAAATATCCATACAGACATACTCATTCTTAAAAGGGTTTCTTCTGTGCGAAGGAAGTGGTTTCTACAACATAACATGTAATTACTACAGTAAATTGTATTGTGAATATGAAGAAGATGAAATCTGAGCCCTATAGACTCATGGATTTTGCTATTACGTTTTGTCTTCAGTTTCTTTTTTTGTTCACTCTGTTGTCAAAGTACTTTGTACATTCTTCTCTGTGAACTTTGCAGATCAGAGAAATCAACTGAAAGAAGGAAATGATATGTTTTAGTTTATTCAAAGGTATCTATAGCAGTGGTCCGCAACCTTTTTGGTGCCAGGGACCGGTTTTATGGAAGACAATTTTTCCATGGATCGGGGGATGGGTGGAGGTGGGCATATGGTTTAGGGAAGAAATTTTCACCTTAGATCATCAGGCATTAGTTAGATTCTCATAGGAGCATGCAACCTAGATTGCTCACATGCACAGTTCACAATGGGGTTCATGCTCCTATGAGAATGTAATGCCACTGCTGATCTGACAGGAAGTGGAGCTCAGGTGGTAATGCTCGTTGGCATGCAGCTCACCTCCTGCTTTGTGGCCTGGTTCCTAACAGGCAGCAGTATCGGTCTGCAGCTCAGGGATTGGGGACCCCTGATGTATGGTTTAGAAATAAATTAGGATAATGTATAGATTTATAAAAAGTGGCTTAGAGGTACCCGCTTTCTTGTCACTTTATTAAAATCCCTTTAAGATTAAAAAGAAAATGTGTAAATAAATGTGAAAAATTATATATCACTTTTTTCCCCAGAATCTCCATTGTTACAAGGAGAGAAGCTTAGTTTTTGAGAGAATTCTGCCAACATTTGCTGTAGCAGATGTATTTTAGTTGTTTAAGAATGTGTGATAATCTCACTCTTTCATTTTGGGGTGGTCTTTACTTTAAAAATAAGTGTAAATGGATTATGGCATCCATTTTGTAAGTCATTTACAAAAGTTTGCACCATTCTACCTCTTGTGACATTGAAGAAATAAGGCATAATTTTCATTTTGTCAGCAAATCTCTCTGACAGGCAAGGGCTTACATAGTGTATACAGCAACATTCTCTAATGGATTGCAGGTCCCATATGAGAATGTGCAATGTGCTCATTAAAATTACAGCAGCAGAAAAAGCAGAATAAATTGCCACCAAGTATTTAACTATGACATTTGTATGTATTTCTTTTTGACATGCCTATGGGCATGTCACTGTAAATTGTCCATGAGGATTGTTGTGACAGCTTTATGGACTAAAGTTAGGGACCCAGCCTCTCACTTGGCTAAAGGATGACAGCCTAAATAAGAAGAGTATAGTGAAATAGCTTATGAATAGCTGTATGATTCTGCTATAACGAAGTTTAGGTACAAACTATCCCAAGTACCTTGGGAATTTGGAACAAAAAATGAGAAAGCAAGTATCATCGAATGATTTCCAAATATGAGAAATATGAAGGCTCTATCCCTGGAAGAATTTAACATGCAACAGTAGTATCTACCTCTCAGGACTATTGGGAAGATTAGTGAAAGCTGCTAGCCCAGTGACTAGGATACGTGGGAAGCTTCATAGATGTTTGATTTTTTCTTCTTGTCTTCTGGCATTGTCTTTCTTTTCTTTTACCAAACCATCTAAGGAAATAAATGGGAAAAGAGCAGGTGTTATAGCAACAATAATCATTGCAAATTTTCTGGGGAAAGTTTGGGGCAACTGTAGAAGGATTCAGGAACAGGTGGAATTTGTCTAGTCTTTGAAGGAACTTAGAATTTAAGTTACAGTTGCGGGAAACTGGGAGAGTATTCTTGGCAAGAGGGCCCTCAAGAACAGAGGCTCAGCAGCAGAGTTTAACCTAGTGTTTCTGGGGAACAGTGCAGGAAACAGCTAAGGTTGGAGGCTGATTGTGGAGGGCTTCAACATGAGAGCTCAGGAGCCTGTGGTCTTCATCTTCTAAGCTTTGGGCGAAGTTGTTGAGTAATTTTACTTGCTAGAACAATGACAACATTTATAGAGAAAAGTATGTCTGGAGAGGAGCAGGTTTCAGACACAAGATTTATTTTTAGACATATAGAAATTTTAAGAGATGAGAAAGTCACAAAAGCATGGGAGGAAGGTTAGAGCTGTATATGTTGAAGCCACAAAATTGGTGAGTTTTCTGAGAGAGAGACAACGAGGAGGAGGAACAGGAGGAAGTATGAACTCTTAACTAACTTTGACATATGCTTTTATTTTGTAAATGGGAGAGACAAAACAAGCAAGAAATAGAGTTAAAGGAATGGTCACTGAGAGAAAAGGAGACGTTAACAGTGAAGATAGTCATGTTTGGTGGGGGAGAGTTACTTTTCTTTATTGCCTCTCAGATTTAGGCACTGTTTGGTGGCTTTATGTGTTTTAACTCATTTTATTTTTATAACAACCCAATTAAGTAGACAGTATTTTCACCAAATTATGGAACAGAAAAGTGGGCTTTTGTCATTAAATAGGGCCATGCAAATTTTAAGTGGCAATTGAGTTGAAAATATTTATTGCAGGGGATTAGGGAGTTGGTGATTAGAAAACAGCAGAGGACATATATTTTCTGGAGAAATTTTGTGGTGTGAAAAAATGTTACAGTGGTAGATCTCTGGTATCTGGGGTCAGAGGAGATTTTCAGACTGTGATATGAAGAAGATTTTATCTTCTTTGCAACTCACGAGAATTTCTTTGTAGGATGGGAAGAACATTTCTGAGAAGACAGTAAGAGGGAGCTGTTGGAGCTTAGCTGAGCTATGTTTTATATGGAAGCCAAAAATTTTGCTCTCCAAGAAAAATAAGTGAGAAAGAGAAAAGACTGGTCTCAGCACTCTGCAGTGGGAGGATTGTGAGGTGAGATATGGTGACTAGGGATCAAGGAGAGAGACTGGAAAGGAGATGTGTTTAATGGGGATTTTTCTGAGTGAAACTCTATGCTTCATGGTACGTGACACCTCCTGTTATCCCCACACATTTCCGTAACACTACAAAATCCAGGATGTACTTGGTATGATTACATTTTTTTTCATGATTGCCTGTAAGGGAGATGAGATTTATATCAATGTTAGTGAAGTACTAAAACAGTCATTCCATATGGAGGAGGACCCATATTCATGGGGATTTAATTTGTCATTGTTGTTTTATATTGGTTTAAGATTAGGATAGTTGAGGTAATAAATTTATGGGGTGGGAGAAGAAAACAATAGGGAGTGAGAGACTAAAGGTTCAAAAGTGAGATTAGATGGACTCAAAAATAGGTTTATAGGCCATGAATAAGAGGTGGTTATCTTTTCCTCAGAGGCAGAGGAAAAAAGAGAAGGTTGGGGAAAATGGAAGGGCATTTTTAAAGTGAATTGGTGGTTAAGCCTATGATAATTTTGGGAGAGACACTCAAGATGAGGAATTATGCCTAGATCAACTTCATTATATCAATCTCTCTATCAAGCACGGAGCAGTATCATTTTGAGGGATGAGGAAGCAGCATTAAACCTAAGATTTAAAGAAGGCAAATGTTTTGGACCATCTGACTGAACAATGAATAAAATGATTGCCTAGACCAAGAAAGGGTTTGAATGCTATCAGATTCATTTTATAAATTTTTCCAGGAATATTGCCACTTGCATTAGAAGTAAATAAAGTTGAAGGATATATTTAGGTAGGAAGAACTAGCTATGCTTCAAATTATATCAGAAGGGTTGTTCCCCACTTTCTTTGTAAGAGGCGGTTAGGTATGCACCAGTTTTCTTAAAAGAGACAGTCCGCCTAACTAAATTTATATGTCTCAGGGTATCTAATTAAAGTATCTATATAGATGTGCATACCGTCTATGAAATAGCTCAGTATTTTGCCTCCAAGACTGTAACCTTGGTGGAATAGTCCAAATATGATTAATTTTCCCATTAACTGGTTTAGAATGTTGCTGATGATGGGCTAAATCAGATATGTTTCATGGCATTTCTCTACCCTTTGTTCCTTGTGAGAAGGACTTTTTTGATTAAAGTTCCCACTGAGGAGATACACCTGGGAGCCATGGTCTTAACCAAATGATCCTAATTTTCCCTAGACCACAGTGGATTGGAATACGGGAGTCTCCTGACAAAAGAGCTAAGCAGTAGTTAGTGACTTATGAACCATTGCCTGGCAAGAAAAGGTGACGTAGGCCAATACAATTCTCCCTTTAGGGAATCTAATTTGATAAGTGCTAAGACAAGAAACTGCAAGTGATCACTGAAATGGAAAGGATGTCCTGAAGTCTAATTGTGGCCATAATGGTGGGTTAGTTATGAGTCCAGGTCCAGTTTCTAAAATGACTTTAAGATGTAAACCTAAAAATGTAATGTTAAAAGTTTGTTTTTGAAGAGCATTAACTCTCGGCCTCATGGGTGAAATGATGTCATGCACCTGCTGTACGGAGACACACAATGTCTTCTCAGTTGAACAGTCTGAACATTTAGAAACAACACCCTCCCTCCTCCTGCAGAATGTGACTGCTCAGAGACGTAGAGACACCAAGACTGAAAATCCTATCTCCCAAGAATCTTTTATCATCTTCTTTCCTAAAACATGAAGACTGTATATGCGTATTTCTTCAATGTAGAATTATTTCTGTTTTGAAGCTAGAAGATGTTTTCAAAGAGTATAAAGGAATGCAGTGGAGCCATTAAATCCCTCATTGACAGTTTGTATTCTCTGCATAACCTTGAATATCTTATTAGCAATGTCAGTCTGCTTTTTGAAATGCGATCTCACTGCTCAAAGTAACCTCCAACACACTTGCCAGTTGAAAAAAGAAAGTTCCTATGTGGTTAAATAGAATCCAAATTTGTCAATCCTAGGTTTGTTTCTTTTTTTTTTATTATTATACTTTAAGTTCTAGGGTACATGTGCACAACGTACAGGTTTGTTACATATGTATACATGTGCCATGTTGGTGTGCTGCACCCATTAACTCGTCATTTACATTAGGTATATCTCCTAATGCTATCCCTCCCGCCTCCCCCCACCCCACAACAGCCCCCGGTGTGTGATGTCCCCCTTCCTGTGTCCAAGTGTTCTAATTGTTCAATTCCCACCTATGAGTGAGAACATGCGACGTTTGGTATTTTGTCCTTCCCTCTGTACATTGTTCTTATTTCATTTCATACTAAGAAGATGTTATAAAGCCAATTAAAATTATATGCAGTTCTCTGATGATATAAAGGAATGCATGGCTCTGAGGGAGAGAAGTGGCTAAAGGTGGTTGCCAGGGGCAACCAGCGAAGGAGCTGTAAATTAATAGGCTTGTTCCTTTCAGATATGGCATTAATCAGAAGCCAGGAGGGAAATTTAAAATAATTTCTTAGAGCAAAAACCTCTTCCAGTATTAGGGAGATTCTAAACATGTTTTTATGCTAGGTGAATTTATGGGCCTCCTGGGGGGTCTCCTTGAAGGGATTACTGAGAACCAATTCTGGAGAGAGACCTACATCTGGCAGGATCAAAAAAGACAACCACAGAGAAAGAGATGATTCCCTAAAAAGAGAGATGATGACAGACTTCAGGAATCAAACCTAAATTAAGCAAGTCAGGGAGGAGATGCTTTCTCCTTAAAAGCCCTAAGAACGGTGTGAATCAGTTGACATTATTTCTATTTTGTTTTTTAAAAAGTTTAAAAGTTTCCGCTTAAATATTGCTGTTTAAGTTCATTTAAACTTCAGCTATTTGCAATATGTATATATGTATTTTGTTTTTAATTGGAAAAGGGTTTGGAAGCTCATACTAATTTATTACTTCAATAAAGTTTAGGGATTGCAATTTAGACCAAAATCGAATCTTTGATTCTGCCACTAACTGGTGCTAAAGTTATTCAGATTGAAAGGATATTTTATCAGGTGGCTCTTTGAAGGAGTGTGTGTGTGTGCTTTGTCCATCTGTTAGCTTTGTTAGTCAAGACTTCTATGAAATGTTTTGCAGTGTCATTAGTATAATGACTCGTGATTAATTTTTTAAAAATCTGTTTTTTTTAAAGAAAAAAGCTTTCTCTCCTGAATGGTATGATTACCAATGTGATATGATAAATTTTTGTTTCTATCCTTGGTTTTGAACACTAGGAATTGTATGCATAATTTAGCGTTCAATAACATAGCCCTATAATGGAGAGATGTAGGTCAAAGGTTATATAAAGTTGTATATGTATAGGATGAATAAGTCTAAAGCTATGATGTACAGCAGACTATAATTAATAATATTGTATTGTGTTTGTGATAATTGCTAGGAGTAGATTTTAGGTGCTCTTACCACATACAAAAAAGGGGGGGTAACTATGTGTGATGATAGGTTTTATTTGCTTGACTATAGTAACCATTTCACTGCATATCAAAATATTATGTGGTATGCCTTGCATACATAAAATAAAAATACAATAGCCCTTTTAGTTTAATTTTAGTAATACAATCTGATAAAATAAAGATAAAATTAATATGTAAGAATAATAGTAAACTGGCTGGGCATGGTGGCTCACGCCTGTAATCCCAGCACTTTGGGAGGCTGAGGCGGGCAGATCACTTGAGGCATTCAAGACCAGCTGGCCAAGATGGTGAAACCCTGTTTCTACTAAAAATACAAAAATTTGCCGGGAGTTGTGATGGGCACCTGTAATCCCAGCTGAGGAGGAGAATTGGGAGGCTGAGGCAGAAGAATTGCTTGAACCCAAGAGGCGGAGGTTGCAGTGAGCCGAGATCACACCACTGCACTCCAGCCTGGGCTACAGAGCGAGACTCTGTCTCAAATAAAAAGAAAAAAAAAAGGAATAATGGTAAACTGTAAACTCCCTGAAATGGAGGCTTTGGTCATACCTTACTGCCTAGTACATTACATATCCTTAGTACCTAGTACAGTTTCTGGGACATATTTAGAGCTCATTACATATTTCTTAAAAACAATCAGTAGTTCATAGGGAATTGTGAGTATGATTATAGGATTATATTTTTTATTTGGCAAAATCAAAACTCCACCAAATCACAAATTTTATTTGGTAAAAATCCATGTAAAGCAGTTGTGTTGAGGGCTTTCTAAAAAGTGCTGAACTTAAATTGTTCTGATAGACAAGAAAGGGAGAATGAGTTCATATGGTGAGCAGCAGAGATGAGATGAAGAATCCCACTCGTGTACAGATAAAAATACCTAGCTAACATTCAGCAAAGTGGGGTAGAGGGCTACATTAAAGTTACCCTTATAATGTGGTTCCTCTCTCTACGTTAATGATGCATAAGGAGAATATCATTTGCAGATGAAGTAAATAGGTTTGATGGTGTTAAGAGAAAAACCTTAGTTTAAATTTAGCAGAGTTTAATTGAGCAAAGAATGATTTGTGAATCAGGCAGACTCCTGAACCAGAGTAGTCTCAGAGACTAGTGCAGCAGTGGTGCAAGAAAATTTATGGACAGAAAAAGGAAAGTGGCATACAGAAGATAGAAATGAGGTACAGAAACAGTGCCTTATTTGATACAATTTGAACAGTTGGGCCCTTGATTACTTGGTGATTGGCACCAGAGTAGGTTACAGTCTGTTTACACATCCAGTCAGTTACAGTTTAATGTGTACAGAGAAACCTTTGGGCTGAACTTAAAATAGGTAAGGAGGCAACTTTAGGCCAAACTTAATTTAACAAGGGATAACTATAGGTGAGATGATGGGAGTGGCTTTGGCTGTAGAAGCAAAAGACAGTATACTAAGCATTCTCTGAAACTGTTTGTAGAGTTGTTGAATTTCCTGTTGACTTTGTGAGCCATAGTAAACAAGCTAAATGTTTTGGGTTACCTGTGTCACCTGTTGAATTCTGAAGCTATTGCTTGATTGGAGGAACCCCTTCCTTGGGAGATATGCAGATTCAGTTCTAGACTGCCAAAATAAAGCAAATATTTCAATAAAGCGAGTCACATGAATTTCTTGGTTTCCCAATGCGTATAAAAGCTATATGTACACTATACTGTAGTCTAGTTAGTGTGCAGTAGTCTAGTAAGTGTGCAGTAGGATTATGTCTAAAAGATGTGCATAACTCAGTTAAAAAAACTTAATTGCTAAAAAATGCTAATGATCATTTGAGCTGTCAGCGAATTGTAATCTTTGCTGGTGGAGAGTCTTGCCTTGATGATAATGGCTGCTGACTGATCATGAAGGTGGTTTCTGAAGGTTGAGGGAGCTATGGCAATTTCTTGAAATAAAAATGAAGTTTGCTGCATCAATTGACGCTTCTTTTCATGAAAGACTTCTCTGTAGCATGTGATGCTGTTTGGTAGTCTTATACCCACAGTAGAACTTCTTTCAAAACTGGAGTCAGTTCTCTCAAATTCTGCTGCTTCTTTGTCAACTAAATTTACGTAAAATTCTAAATCCTTTGTTGTAATTTTAATAATGTTCTCAGCATCTTCACCAGGAGTAGGTTCCATCTCAAGAAAATACTTTCTTTGCTCATTTATAAGAAGCAACTCATCATCTGTTAGTTTTATCATGAGACCTGCAGCAATTTAGTCACCTCTTCAGGCTCTACTTCTAATTCTAGTTCTCTTGCTGTTTCTATAACATCTGCAGTTGCTTTTTTAACTGAAATCTTGAGCCCCTCAAAGCCATCCACAAGGGTTGGAGTCAACTTCTTCCAAACTCCTGTTAATGTTGATATTTTTACCTCCTCCCATGAATCACAAATGTTCTTAATGTCATCTAGAATGGTGAATCCTTTCCAGACTATTTTCAATTTACTTTGCCCAGATACATCAGAGGAATCACTATCTATGGCTGCTATAGCCTTATGAAATGTCTGTCGTAAATAATAAGACTTGACAGTTGAAGTTACTCCTTGATCCATGGGTTGCAGAATGGATGCTATGTTGATAGGCATGAAAATCTCCTTGTACATCTCCCTCAGAGCTCTTGGGTGACCAAGATTGTCATTGTCAATGACATTTCATAATATTATGGCGGTAATATTTTGAAAGGAATATTTTTTTCTGAACAGTATGTCTCAACGGTGGGCTTAAAATATTCAGCAAACCATGCTGTAAACAAATGTGCTGTCATCCAGGCTTTGTTGTTTCATTTATAGAGCACAGGCAGAGTTAGGTATAGCATAATTCTTAAGGGCTCAAGGATTTTTGAAATGGTAAATGAGCATTGGTTTCAACCCAAAGTCACCAACTACCTTAGCCCCTAACAAGAGAGTCAACCTGTCCTTTGAAGCCAGGCATTTATTTCTCTTCTTGAGCTATGAAAGTCTTAGACGGCATCTTCTTCCAATAGAAGGCCATTTTATTTCCATTGAAAATCTGTTGTTTACTGTAGCCATTTTCATCAGTGATCTGAGCTGGATCTTCTGGATAGCTTACTGCAGCTTCTCCATTAGCACTTGCTTCTTCACCTGGCACTTTTATGTTGTAGAGGTGACTTCTTTCCTTAAACTGCATGATCCAACCTCTGCTAACTTCAGACATTTCTTCTGCAGCTTCGTCACTTTTTTCAGCCTTCACAGAATTGAAGAGAGTTAGGGCCTTGCTCTCAATTAGGCTTTGATTTAGGGGAGTGTTGTGCCTGGTTTGATGTTCTATCCAGACCACTAAAACTTTCTCCAAATCAGCAAGAGGCTATTTTGCTATCTTATCATTAGTGTGTTCACTGTAGTAACACTTTTAATTTCCTTCAAGAACATTTTCTTTGCATTCACAACTTGGCTAACTGGTGCTAAGGGCCTAGCTTTTGGCCTATCCTGGCTTTTGACATGCCTTCCTCACTAAGCTTAATCATTTCTAGCTTTTGATTTAAAGTAAGAGATGTGAAACTCTTCCCTTCACTTGAACATTTGGAGGCCATTGTATTAGTTATTAGTATTATAGTATTATTAGTTGGCCTAATTTCACTATTGTTGTGTCTCAGGGAATTGGAAGACCTGAGGAGAGAGAGAAAAGGGGAACAGCTGGTTGGTAGGGCAGTCAGAAGACACAACATTCATCAATTAAGTTCACTTTCTTAAATAGGTGTGGTTTGTGGTGCTCCAAAATAATTGCAAGAGTAATATCAAAGATCACTGATCACAGATTACTATAACAGATATAATAATAATGATAAAGTTTAAAATATTGTGACAGTTACCAAAATGTGATACAGAGACACAAAGTGAGCCCATGCTGTTGGGAAAACAGTGCTGACAGATTGCTTGATTCAGGGTTGCCACAAACCTTCAATTTGTGAAAAACACAGTATCTGTGTAGCACAATGAAGTAAAGCACAATAAAATGAGACATGCCTGTATTTACTTAGTATAGGTACTTCTGTAAATTGCCATCTCTAGCAATGATGGCAGCCAGTTGTCATAGTTAATTATTTTTTCCTGGGTCTTACCAAGGAGTTTGAGCCCACTCAAAGAGCTTAGAGTAAATACAAAGGAGAATCACCATTAAAATCTTTATTCTTTATGGTTTTTAGTTATGTTTATTTAGGTGATGACTGACTATGCATATTGCTTGTTTTGCAAGGTACTTCAAATCTCTCTTCGTAGTTGCCCTGACATAAATAATAAAATGTTTTTTAAAATGTTACATTTTTATGGTTCTGAAAAAAATAAACCCTCAAGTCTTAAATCAACTTTTTATGTAAAACCTACACTTTGCAGGATATATATGGGATTTATATTAATTAAAAAGGTTATAGACTAGTAAAACAGTGCTGAGGGCTGGGGAGGTAGTCTGATAGAGGGTGAAATAAAGACCTCACTGAGAGGTGACATTTCAGCAAAGTCCTGGCAGTAGAGAGGGAGAGGGTGGTAAATATTTAAGGGAGGAGTGTTCCAAATTGAAGAATCAGTAAAAATGAAAAGACTCAAGGCAGGAGTGTGCCTGGTGTGTTGATTCAAGACCAAGAAGCTTATTTTGGCTGGAATGGACCACGTCTGGGAAGATAGCAGGAGATGAGGTCAGAAAGTTCATAAGGGGGCCTGACTGAGTAGGGCTTTAGGGTCTTGGAAAGGCTGACAGTACCCTGTGTGAGGTGGGAAACCACTGTAATGTTTTAAAGCAGAGGAGGAACATGATCTGATTTAGGCTTTAAAATGATTATTCTGGCTTCTATCCCTATTTCAGGAATATATTTGTCTGTAAGCAACAAAATATCTGACTAATAGTAATTTAAACAAACAGAGAATTGCTTTTCTTATTGTTTTCTTTGATGCAGGTTTCTGAAATTGATTCAGCCTTTCCATGATGAAATCAGGGATTCAGGCTCTTTTGTTGTTGTTGTTGTTGTTTTCTGTTTGAGACAGGGGACAGAGTTTGACTCTGTTGCTCAGGCTGGCGTGCAGTGGCACGGGCTTGGCTCACTGCAACCTCTGCCTCCCAGGCTCAAGTGATCCTCCCACCTTACCTTCCTGAGTAGCTGGGACTACAGGCACATGCCACCATGCTTGGCTAATTATTTGTATTTTTTGTAGAGATAGGGTCTTGCCATGTTGTTCAGGCTGGTTTTAAACTCCTGGACTCAAGTGATCCACCTACCTTGGCCTCCCAAAATGCTGGGATTACAGGCGTGAGCCACCGCACCTGGTCCCCAGACTCCTTTTATCTTTTTTCTCCACCATCCTCCACATGTTGGCTGTCCACATTGTACTTTTTGTTTCATGGTTATAGGATGGCTGCTGCAGCTCCAGACATCACATCCTTGTTGAAGGCAGAAAGGAGGGAAAGACAGCACTTAGCCACATCTACTTGGAAAGCTTTACCTCTGTGTTACAGGCTATCTGGATCTGTAAGGAAAGATGAAACAGTTAAAATATTTTCATTCTTAGCTCCTATAGAAATGGCAGTTAAGAAATGAAGAAGTTGGGGGTGGATATTGGGTCAGTCAACCTGCAGTGTCTGACAGTCATGATTCATGATACCTGTTGTGGTTTATCATTTTACCAGGCTCTTCATGTACATTTTCTCATTAGGGTCCTGCAGTGATCCTCTGGGGGAGAGCAAGGAAGAGATGGCAAGCTTCATTTTAGAGATGAGAAAGCCAAGGCCCAGAGGGAAAGTGACTGCCTCACAGGTCTTTTGATGACAGGGCAGAGACTAACACAGATGTCACTAACTCTCATTTATTATATCCTGGGACCTAACTTTAGCATTATATGAATACCTTGTATGAGGCATTACCAATTGCATTCAGCCTCCTCCAGTAAATGAGAGAAGCCACCTGGTCTCTGCAAGGGTTTAGAGACTATGATTACTTTGTGGCTTTTCTCTAGTTGTCCCAGAGCTGAGCTTCCGCAGGCAATGAAGAAAGCCAAGGAGTAAGGAAAATCCTTACTCTCTGGAGGGAAGAGGCAGATTCATCCTTCTGGCCTGTGACACAGTGGAAAAGTTCCTGAGAATTCAGGGGTAGAGTATATTTCTTATAGAAAAACATTTTAAATGCACCAGAAGAGCTCTGTCTGTAAAGAAAGTATATTTCATTAGTTTTATAAATTGCATAATTATTTTATCAAGATAACAATGGCCCTTTGTTTTTTAACTAACCCTGTAGTTTCTTCATAAGATTTGCTTAAAGCTGGGTTTCCAAATAGCTCTGGGAGCAGAACAGCCGCGCTCGTGCCAGACAGGTGTTTTTCCTCCTGCCTGAGTGGATGCAGCTGGGAGACACTGCTCTTCAGATCCATCTTATGTCCAGGTGTGCGTTCACCCTTCCCTTGCACATGACTGATGCTGTTTTATCCAACAGACCTTGGGATTGAAATAATGAATGACCTAAGGCTCCAAAATGGCTATGAAAGAATGTAGAAAGCCCCTAGGTTTAGGCATAAATAATAAAATTAAAGGGAATGGGAATTTTAACCTATGAAGCTGCAAATGTAAACTACATTTAATCTTTATAACAACGTGTGAAAGATGTGACTATTTTATTACAATGTCTATTTTACAGATAAAGAAACTGAAATTTAGAGCTATAATTAAACTACTTACAATCAGTATTCAACCAAAAACAGATTTGGATCTAGTTGTGTTCTGCTTATGTAGCTGCTAACAGCTTTCTGTAGTGTCCTGGGCACCCTAGCAAAACTCGAGGGAAAAATGAGGAGCGGTGATGAAATTCTGGGGCATCTTAGGACCTTAATTTCACAGATAGGTAATATCACATGTATCCTATAAATGGCATGTGTTGTGGCCTGGTTCAAGTCTGGTGATTGGTTCTCAAATTCCTGTGTGCTTAAAATTCATCTAAGGAGTGTTATGAAATGCAGGTTTCTAGGCTCCGATCCGGAGGTTCTGGTTAAGCAGGGGTGGTGACAAGCCTGGGAATCTGTAGTTTAGTAAGCATCCAGGCTTCTTTGATGTAGATTTTCTGCAAATGACATTTCAAGAAATATTGCTTTAAATTGAAATTTAATAGCCAGAATGGCACTAGGCATTCAGGAGGCTTCCAGCTTCACATCCAGGAGTTGGTAGATTGATGCACTTCTCACTAATAAAGATAAACAAGTTATCTCCAATGGAGACTTTTTCCCATTTATTCCAGTTTGGCATTGAGAACTTTGAGGAGATATTGAAAAACCACAGTAGCTCTTTTCTTGGTAATAATAGAGAAACAACAAAAAAAAAAATTAAGAGGCAACATACAGCATGCTTTATTTACTCTTTCCCTTTACTTTGGATCTGGAATTTTTTTATTTGTTTTACCTAGCCAGACACACCAGAAGAGATTCTCAGAGGATGCTAAAAATATTGCTCTTGTCACTACAGGCTTCACATTCCCGTTCCTCTCTCTCTGCCTGAATCCTCAGTAGAAAAGATGGCTTTTGTCTTTTGTCTCTTTCTGACAAGAATTAGGTCCCTGGGTTCTGAGTTACTTTTGTGATAAGTTCTTGCCTGTCTGGCCAGACACACTAAGTCCACACTGAGGTCAAGCGTTTAGGTCTCAGGAAGTCATAGGACCCTATATGGGGCTCAGGTTAGGCAGGGCTTTTGTTTCAAATAGGGAGCTCAGTCTGGTAATGAAAAGAAGAAAATAAAACAAACAACAAACCTCCTGAATACAGCTTGAATATAACAAATAACCTGAATATAAGTTTGTTTCTCCATTCCACAAATGTTTATTGAGTGGCTGCTGTTTGTTAGATATGTGTCAAGGACCAATCAGGTAAATAATTTATGATTAAAAGAAGCGATTTAGAAAACCACATTGTCGGCCAGGCACTGTGGCTCACGCCTGTAATCCCAGCACTTTGGGAGGCCGAGGTGGGCGGATCATGAAGTCAAGAGATCGAGACCATCCTGGCCAACATGGTGAAACCCCATCTCTACTTAAAATACAAAAATTAGCTGGGCATGGTGGTGTGTGCCTGTAGTCCCACTTACTCAGAAGGCTGAGGCAGGAGAATCGTTTGAACCCAGAAGGCAGAGGTTGCAGTGAGCTGAGGTCGTACTACTGCACTCCAGCCTGGCGACAGAGCGAGACTGTCCCCTGCCCAAAAAAAAAAACAACAAAAAAACAACCCACATTGTCTTTTGTTTTCTGTTGAAAACCTTTAGCATTTGCTTCCCTATTCTATATTACAAGCTTTTAAAACATTAATAAGTAGATCATTTTTGAACACTTATTGTGCCTAATGCCCAGATAACTCTATTTTCAGGCCATGTAAAGAAGAATATCAGAGCAAGGATTTAAGAGGCAACCAACTGTGGGTCACACTTTGCTTCTGCTTTCCTTCCTATTGGCTGGGTGAACTCGGGCAAGTTACTTTGCCCCCACCCCCAATACCCCATCAAGCATTTTTTTTTTAAACGGTAATACCTTCAAGTATGTTTCTAAAGATTAAGTAACTAAAGAATGTAAAGCATTTGGCATACATTTAGTGTTTAATGAATTTCAATTCATACTATTATTGAGGTTTTCCAACTGCTCTCAAGGAGACTTTAGTACAGCTGGGAACACAGATATGTCCTTATTTAAAAGTGTATTGAAAGTCAACGTGGCAAGTTTCAGATCAGTCGAAGCTGGAGACTGGAGGTCGTTGGAGTGCTGTTGGAGGAAGTACTGTTGGAGGTTGGAGCAAGGAGAGTAGTTGTTGGAAGGAACTTCTTAGAAGAGCCAGTCTCGAAGATATGGTGTAGACAAAGCCTGAAGCTGCACTCTTACTACATTTGCAAGTTGATGTCCAGTGTTCGGTATTCTATTTGTGGCTACACAAATTGAGAAATGTGAAAAATGTAAGTGGCAGAAAAAAAGGACAGAAAATTATTTCTGTAAGGATAAGTTAAAGTTATTGTGATTATTTTAATCTGGGAATGTGGTTCTTAATGATTTTAGTACATGAGCCATTTTGGAAAGGAAAAAGAAAAAGATACAAGACAACAAAACTAGTGATAGTGATTGTGTTCTTTATTTTTGTTGGCCTCACATGCCTAACAGAGGGGTTAACACAAGAAGTTTTTAATCAACCTTTGTTAATGAATCAATGTACCTTCCCTGTTTTCTGTTTGATTTTACAAAGCCACAAATAAAAGTAACTTTTGAAAAAAAACCAACTTACCTGGAATGGAGAAACTGGTAGCCTTTGAAGTTATACCAGTTGCATTATAGTCAAGGTAATCATACAATTTTTCATCCAAAACGGGACACTTCTGAGAATCAAAGGGGACTTTTATTAATAATTAGACTAAGACATTAAGTATCAACTTGAATTGTCCTGGGTACATGGGAACATTTGGGCATCCTGATTATAGTTTTTATTTATTAAATCCCTTCTCATTAGTCTTTTATTAGTTAATACCAGAAACAAATTAATAGCGCCTATGGAAATTAAATTTACGAAGTCTCAGTCTTGCAAATGCTATAAGAAAAGTTAAGGGATTAAAATAAAATGAATAAATAAAAGTTAATATTTATTGAATGCTTATTTGCTAAGCAATTATATCTCTCAATTATAGATATAAAGCTCAGAGAGATACATAACTTCCGTAAGGTTCTGTTGCTAGTAAGTAATAGAGATGAATGAGGCTTTAATTCTAGATTTGTCTGACTTGGGACTTTATCATGATACAAATGTATATATATCATATACATTTGGCAGTTCTGGTCTAAAGCAAAAAGATGTTTAATAGCTGTGTTTAAGTAAAAACTGCAATTCTTACAAAAAATTATTGATGCCTCAGAAACAGAGAATTTCAGAGGAGGAGGCAAATTCAACCTTTTCATGAGAGGTGAGATCTTGTTTCCTAGAATCCTTAAGAACATGCTAGCATCTCTTGCTTCGTGGTAATTTAGACAAAATTGAGAAAGGATGTAAACCCCACTCTTTATACACTAATGCATTAGTGTAACCCAATGTACATGAATGCATTATTGTTTCTTGTCATTTTCTCCTTCATGTTTGAGGCTTATTCAGTTTTCTCAGAAGTTGAGTTTTTTCAACATATGAAGAAGCCCTGTGCTTTCTCCATAGTGGTAAGTGCTGATTTTTTTAGACTGGCTTAGTCATAACTTTGTCTACATGTAAGAGACTAGACCAGGGTTATTTTGTGATTCCCACCTTAAACCTGAGCTATGCTCTCCTCTTAGGTTTTGGCCAAGACTGGGTACATCTGAAGGATGGTGGGGATGTTGTATTAGGAACAGAGCACATGGTGGCTTCAAATCTAGGAGCTGGAATCAGCTCTCTGTGTTCAAATCCTGATTCAGGCATGCAGTAGCTGTGTGGCCTTGGGTAAGTTACTTCATTTCTTTGTGCAGAGTTGGCTTCATGAGCATGTGATCTGCATAGTTGCACAGCACCCTGGTCAGGAGGGCCCTGCACTTGGTTTAATGTTCTGTAGTTGCTATCTTGAAATGTGTAATATTTTTTGAACAAGGAGATCCATATTTTCCTTTTTCACTTGGTCTCAAAAATTAAGTAGCTGATTCTGTTTCTTAGCCTTAGATTTTTTACTTGTAAAACAGGGATAGTAATATTTTCTTCATCTTTGTGTACAGAGGATCCTCCTAGGAAAGGATATGCCAGTGGTAAGGTCAAGTCAGGCAGTGAGTTTAATCTAAGCTAATTTATTTAAAAAGGAAGGTTGAACTTGGCTATTATATGGTGTCCACCTCTCATGTTGTTTTTTAGCTTATCTTGCTGTAGACTTGTGCCTTGGGGTATAGGGGGGAAATTATAGTACTCTTTTACATGAGAATATCTAGGAGACATTAGGAGCAAAAGCAGCCTTGTTTTGAAACTGTGGCCAGGTAGTATCATATGAAGATGGTGGGGAGGGTCTCTTTTCTTCAGTAAAACTGGGCTTTGGTACCACAATTTTGGGATAGCATCAGTGCCATAACTTGGTAGACTAGCATTGTCTGAGTCCTAGCAGTGCTGACAACAGTGGGGCCAAAGTTCCCTATTAGGTTTTTGAGGACTTCGGAGAGCCAATCAGCTGATGCAATCACTGCCGTTACCACCACCTAAATGAACTGACTTTTTCATAAGAGGAAAATGGCAGATGCCAGGTAGTACCTCAGGCATTGCATTAAAAACATACGTGAGAAATTGCCTTCATTCTCTAAGAAATAATTGGAATGGATTTTGTAAAGCACTGGAAGTACTTTAAAAATTAGTGAGGAAATGACATCAGAGAAATTTGGGTTATTGATAACATTAAGAACTATATTGTATTGTGAGTGTCTGTGGCCTGTGACACAAAAGTTACTTGATATATGAGCCTCTTTTTCTTCTATTAATTAATGACAGGAAGAATTGGATTTCAATGACATATATAGCAACATAACATTCAAGCAAATCATACTTGAACACCAAAGGCAAGGAAGAAACAATCTTTAATGAAAAGGTTACTAATTCATCTCTTCTTTATAAAAACTAATAATGGATCATTATTGTGGTGTTAGAAAGGTTTTCATATCTTGCTCACACCTCCCAGCTCATGAAGTTAAAAGCTATTTAGCATGTAAGTGAGATATTCTGTTCATGATTCTACATTTATACCATAGATTTAAATATGGATAGCAAATCAGCACATATCTCCAATTAACCAGTGCTGATATATATTTGAGTAATCAGTGTCCACAGCAATATGGTAATTTCTGATTATGCATGGATAAACATAGTTGTCCCCTTAGTCGTTGAACTTTACTATAATAAATATAGCCCTTTGAGAATGGTAGTAGATAATGAACTAATGGGGGATTTATTGTAGCAGGCTGTAAAATAGCCCGATGGAAGATATGAAAAAATCAAAACACCAACCATTTCCAGGAGCAGTAGTAGACAGGCCTTAAACTATTGATTTGACAGTTTGGGCCATTAGAATGAAGGCCCAACTAAGAAGCAGATTTCCCAGTCTGCAGAGCCTGCCAGGGAGAAGAAATATGCCATTTAACAAGTACCTTGCCCAAGTGTTTTTGCTTCTACCAGCTGGCAACTACAGAATGTGGTACAGTCTCATACTCACCAGGAGACATTACAACAAGTTCCTGGGGAGTTAACAAATAGAAAATACCCACGCAGGCTTAGCAGGAACAAAGCTTTAATATTCTTAACCTGCTGAAGGCAGTGAAAAGCTCTCATTAGAACAGTTGCTCAAATGAGTCACATTTCTATCGCCTTCCAAGCCTGTGTTTCTTTACTAGATGCTACTTTGAAGCTGGCATTGCCACAGGTACAACTTGCTGCAAACAGGTCAAGAACTCTGCTCTAAAGTTGTGCAGAATTTGAAAATCTTTATTTTCATTTAATATTAGATTCATTTCAGTTTATAGCCTGTGTGAGAATATTTGCCAGAAGGAACTCTTTTTTTTGTTACTTTGGTCTGATCTAAATTTATTACTTAGAAACGTTGAGCTGAATTTATTACTTAGAAACATAAACAATGGCTTGAACTACTACATTTTCCAGCCCTTTAACGTGGCCAAACATCATGTAACATGTCAGCCCTGAGCTTGGTTAATTTATTGCACCTTTCTGTTGATTGGAAGGGCATGAATCCTAGAAGATTTTGCTTTCATTTTGAAATACCATCTGCTAAATTGCTAAATTATATTCTAATCACTTTTTTTTATATGAAGGGATTCCTTTCTAAGAACAACTTAGAAATGTTAAGATAATTTCACCTGCAATTGTGACCTTGAAAAAGATGCAAAATGTTACTGCTTCATTCTTTTGGCATAGTCCTTCAAACCAAACAGGATTCCAACAGCATAATTTTATTATTCCTTTTGCTGACAGTTCAGGTTCTTCATTCATACTTTATATTTTCTTATTTATAGAAAATATTTTCCTCTCAAAGACATAACTTTAGAAATTCCAATACCAAAATATGTTGTTGTACTTATATTTTACAAACTCAAAAGAAGGAGGAAAAATACCAGTATTTTTTTTGACATTTCCTACAAGCAAGTAACTCAAAAGAAATGCAAAAAACCAAAGAGACAGTATTCAGAAAGGCAAATTACAGGAATTAAGTAATCATAACTTCTGTGTTGATAAAAACTCAGAAAAAGTAAATGACGTAATTATCCAAAATGTTTAATTTTGAGAAATAGAACACTATTTATGTAAAAGACATCTTCATATTTTTGCACTTTTGTTCCCCTCAACTAGTATTTTGAAGGGTCACACCTTCAGAGCAGAGAGATATGCCAACGACAGAAATATTTAAGATTCCACAGAATTTTAGTTGATTTGTTGTTGGAGTTAACAATAAAACCATATCAAGTAATTTGAACTGGATCAGTTGGTTGTGGATAGATGTCAAGCAACATACATGACACAGCTCTTTAACGTTCTAGGAAAGTGGCTGTCCCCAGCTGGATACAGCATTTCGACAGCATGTGTGCAAACATAGCTGGTTCATCCTTGGTGAGTCATTTACAGCCACGAGTATACACTGCAGGTGACACAAGAACCAGTGCACGATTGGATGAACCACAGAGGAGGCACTTTGGTGCTCAACTTTCAGTATATTCTGTTTTTACATGTTTACATTTCAATTTTTTTTTCCTGAGGATACTCAGTTTAATATCTTCTATTTGAGATGCCTTACAATTGTGTAAAATTCTTAGGTATTATTATTATTTTGTTTTTGTTTTGTTTTTATTTATTTATTTTTATTATACTTTAAGTTCTGGGATACATGTGAAGAATGTGCAGGTTTGTTATATAGGTATACACATGCCATGGTGGTTTGCTGCAGCCATCAACCCATCACCTACATTAGGTATTTCTTCTAATGCTATCCCTCCCCTAGCACCCCCCCACCCCCCAACAGGCCCCAGTATGTGATGTTACCCTCCCTGTGTCCATGTATTCTCATTGTTCAACTCCCACTTATAAGTGAGAACATGTGGAGTTTGGTTTTCTGTTCTTGTGTTAGTTTGTTGAGAATGATGGTTTCCAGCTTCATCTATGTCCCTGCAAAGGACATGAACTCATCCTTTTTTTATGGCTGCATAGTATCCCATGGTGTATATGTGCCACATTTTCCTTATCCAGCCTATCATTGATGGACATTTGGGTTGGTTTCAAGTCTTTGCTATTGTGAATAGTGCTGCAATAAACATATATGTGCATGGTCTTTATAGTAGAATGATTTATAATCCTTTGGGTATATACCCGGTAATGGGATTGCTGGGTCAAATGGTATTTCTAGTTCTAGATCCTTGAGGAATTGCCACACTGTCTTCCACAATGGTTGAACTAATTTACACTCCCACCAACAGTATAAAAGCATTCCTATTTCTCCACATCCTCTCCAGCATCTGTTGTTTTCTGACTTTTTAATGATCGCCATTCTAACTGGCATGAGATGGTATCTCATTGTGGTTTTGATTTTCATTTCTCTAATGACCAGTGATGATGAGCTTTTTTTCATATGTTTGTTGACTGCATAAATGTCTTCTTTTGAGAAGTGTCTGTTCATATCATTTGCCCACTTTTTGATGGAATTGTTTGTTTTTTTCTTGTAAATTTAAGTTACATTTCAATATGTAAAGATATCTCAAGATATTTTAGATAAGGCAGATATGATTATCTCAACATAAGATTTTATGAGACTAAGGGGAAGCAAACCAAAAAATTGTTTATCTCCAGAGAGGTACTATTTTAAAGAAATTAAAAATGAGGGCCAGGTGCAGTGGCTCATGCCTGATATCCAGCACTTTGGGAGGCCAAGGCAGGTGGATCACCCGAGGTCAGGAGTTCAAGACCAGCCTGGCCAACGTGGTGAAACCTCATCTCTACTAAAAATAAAAAAAAATTAGCTAGGCGTGGTGGCAGGTGCCTGTAATCCAAGCCACTCAAGAGGCTGAGGTGAGAGGATCACTTGAACCCGGGGGGCACAGGTTGTAGTGCACCGAGATGATGGCATTGCATTCCAGCCTGGGCGACAGAGTAACTCCATCTCAAAAAAAAAAAAAAAAAAAAGAGTGCATATGGGAGTCTTTCTCTACGTATACTGAGGTTTGATAGTTCTGTCCAGAGTACCATTGTAGAACCTTTAAAACCATATGAGAAACACAAAATTCTTTTCTCATGTTTTATTAGTCTGTTCTCACACTGCTAATAAAGACATACCCAAGACTGGGTAATTTATAGAGGAAAGAGATTTAATTGACTCACAGTTCAGCATGGCTGAGGAGGCCTCAGGAAACTTACAATCATGGTGGAAGGGGAAGCAAACACGTCCCTCTTCACATGGCGACAGCAAGGAGAAGTGCCAAGCAAGTGGGGGAAAAGAACCTTATAAAATCATCAGATATCATGAGAACTCACTATCATGAGAACAGCATGAGGGTAACTGCCCCCATAATTAAATTACCTCCCACCAGGTCCCTCCCATGACACGTGGAGATTAGGGGAACTAAAATTCAAGATGAGATTTGGGTGGGGAAACAGCCAAACCATATCACATGTTATGCATAAAGATGATGTTTTTAAGAAAGGAACTTTTCTTAAAGAGGATAGTTTTATGTTCTAAATCAGGGTCAGCAAACTGTGGCTCACAGGTCACATCTTGCCTCCTACCTGTTTTGGCATGGTCTGTGAACTAAGGATGATTTTCACGTTTTTAAATGGTTGAAAAAAATCAAAAGAAGAAGAATATTTTATGACCCAATGAAGATGATATAAAATGTAAATTTCAGTTTCCTTAAGTAAAGTTTTATTGGAACACAGTCATGTTCGTTCATTTATGTATTGTCTGATGTATTGTCTGTTACATATGGCTACTTTTGTGCTTCCATGGCAGAATAGAGTTGTAACAGAGACTATCTCACCTACAAAGCCTAAAATATTCACTATCTATCCCTTTGCAGAAAAAGTTTGCCAACTTCTGTTCTAAATTACTTATCTTCTGATTTTGATACAAGATTGCATAATGAAAAGTAAGTGTTTTTGTAGTTAAATGGGAATTTATGTTATAATTACTTTTGTACTAATATTATGAACAAATAATTATAACAGATTTAATTAAACTATAGTATTATTTTCCATTGGCATTTGCATGACATGAAATAGGTCCCCAGTAAGTATTTTTTGAAGAAATAGATAAATAAATTCACACATGAAGCAGAAAAATATTGGTACTAAAAGAATAATCCATTTTAGCCACTTTTTCTTCTGATTTAAGTTCTGTTTTTGAAAACTTGTTTAATTTAGTAATATTTGTCATGTCTCTGAAGTAATCAGTTGCCATAAATTTGAAAATGATACAGTTGTGGAATCACAAACTATATTTGTGTCTGATTTAATTCAGCTAAATGTGATCCTAATTAGATGCATGGTGTTCCAGCTTTTTGTGTTCCTCAGTTCATTTTTTGTGGTTTCTTTGTGCAGGCAGTATTAAACATATATGCAAATCTCTACAATTATTCACACTGAGAGACAGAAGCGTCTGTGTTCTGTGATCATCCGTTTATACATTTAAAAACCTTATTTGTAGAGAATCAATAATTAGATGGCCTTGGAATATAAATTTGACATTTCTGCTGTACAGTGATTTCCTTCTGGTAGAGTCTTAAGTTCTGAGTTTGAAGCTTCCATGATTATTGATTATAATTATTTTTAAAGTTAATGACTTCTTTGGGGATTTATTTGAGACTGAAGTAAGTCCAACATGCAAAACTTCTAAGTTAGTAAACAAATAAATCTCCAATCTCATCAAGCAAGTTATTTACTGGAAGCCTTGTAAATTAGAAGCATGGTGCCCCACAATTCCATTAATAAAATCTCATCAGCATAATTTAATGTCACATATACAGTATTAGGTTTTAGAGCCAGAACCACAATTACTATGAGAGAGAGTTTAACTGTATAAATCTTAATGGGATAAACTTTCAAAACAGTTTAGAACAGACAGGTATAACAGAAAAACTCCCCTAGGTAAATAATATTAAAATATTATTTAATTTATATTTATGAAATTATCAGCCAAATAATTGTGATTTATAAGATCGTTTCAACAAAAAGGACAGCAACTATTGCTCATCTGTAAAATAGAATAATTCTATTAGAATGACATTGACACCATATTAATTTTTATTTACACAGTTTGATATAAAATCAAAATTGTACCCATGTTATTTATAAGCATGAAATCTATGGGCGTGTAGAAATTTTCAGTATGAGTTAGAAAGTAACAATTAAAAATTTTATGGATTTCTTAGTCCAAATTCAACATTTTTTCTCTACGAATGTATGAAACTTAATTGATACTACTGAGTATTTTAACTGACTTCTAATTGTGTTTGAAGGATGTATTATCTATGGGTTCTATAGCTACTGTTTTCTATAGGTTTCTGTTCTAAGTCAGTGTATCTATAGGGATATAGGCATAGATATAGATATTACTAAATATTTTTATCATAAACAAAACAGTAAATATCCTTACTTTTTCTTCTTATGGTTTTTAAAACACATTTAAATGATTGATCGATAAAATAGAATTGAGAGAAATATGTTACATAAAAGTACTTTCTAGAAAGTAAGGGAGAAAAATTGGAAATAATTACAACTATCAAATAATAATTATGTAACAGTTTTACATATAAGCCTTTAAAGACATTAAAATATACCAATTTATAAATATAATTCATGCAACATGAAAGTATGTTATGCAACACAACAATATAATGAACTCTACCACTCAAATCAGGAATCAGAACAATACTAGTAGCCTTACACTGAATCCCTTCACAAATAGTGATTATTTTGCATTTTGGCCTTATTTCTCCCATGCCTTTATTTTAAAATAGTTTTATGTCATATGTATATATGTATATGTGTGGGTGTATGTGTGTGTATGTGTATATATAGCCAAAAGTAGGTTGCCTGATGTTGCTTATCTTTGAACTTCTTTTTGTAATTTTTTTCATCTTTGATGTTGTGACTATACTTTATTAATTTTCTCATAGTAAAACATTCCATTGTGTGAGTATACCACAAGTTATTTATCCATTTTTCTATCGGTGGATATTTGGACCATTTCCAGTTTTCTTCCCAATTTTATATGTGCTGCTATGAATATTAGTGTAAACATCTTCCTTTAAACATATGCAAAAGTTTTTCTAGGCATATAATGAAGAGCAGAGTTGCAAGACCATGGTTTATCCAAATGTTCAACTTGGATATTGAACATTTATGTTCAGTAACATAAATAACATACTAAATTATCATATAATGACAAACTGTTTTCAAAAATGTTTGTGCCAGTTTACACTATTCCTGGCAATATTACCCTTGATCCATATCCTCACTTAAATTTGTATTGGGTATTGTTAGTTTTTTTTTTTTTTTTTTTTTTTTTTAGACATGGTTTCACTCTGTTGCCCAGGCTGGACTGGAGTGCAGTAGTGGGATCTTGGCTCACTGCAACCTCCACTTCCTGGGCTCAAGGTATCACTCCTGTCTCAGTCTCTTGAGTAGCTGGGAGTACAGGCATGCACCACCACGCCGGGCTAATTTTTTGTATTTTTTGTAGATACGAGTTTTCGCCATGTTACTCAGGTTGCTCTTGAACTCCTGGGCTCAAGCGATTCACCTGCCTTGTCCTCCTAAAGCCCTGGGATTACAGGTATAAACTACTGCACCTGGCCAGATTTCATAATTCATGCTAATCTCTTGGGTGTAAAATGATCTCATTGTGGTCTTAATTTTCATTTGCTTGATTACTAATGAGAGTGATCATCTTTTAATATTTTTATTACTATTACTTTTTTTGTGTGTGAAATATTGTTTGCTTGTTACATGTTTTGTTCAGTTTTTCCTCCCAGTTAGGTTGTTTGTCTTTTTTCCTATTTATTTGTATTAAATTAATTTTCCTAAATTAAATTCAGTTTCCTAAAAATACAACAAAAAACACAAGCAAAATATTTTGAGCACAACTGTTTCAAAATGTTATGTGAATTCTCTAAAGCAGTACGTTTTATTTATTGAAATGGTCTCCAACAAGAAAATGTCTAACTGGTTAAATATTGGTTTAAAGGTAGATGACAGACTAAATCATATATATAGATAGGTAGAAATATGTTTGTGTTTTTTCAGCCCAAACTAAGAGTGATCCTTTATCCTAAAGCCTTTAGATTCTAACATATTTATTATTGGAACAAGGGGAATACTAAATTTGGGTTGACATTTTTATGTTATTTAAACATCATTTATATTATACTTGTACTTTGAAAAGTCTTCCAATATCCATGGAACAAAAAAGTTCAGAATGATAACTACCTAAGCCATTACTACCATATCTGTAGATTTTTTTAAGCCTTTGTCAGTAGTCTATCATTATGCCATTATCAATATAACATACTATCGATAAAAAGGTACTTAAATATCATTATACTAATTATTTTAATTATTTAAAATACAACTTTAAAATCCAATTGTGTCCTAAAGTGATATTTCACAGTAAGAGGCAAATGTATTATATGAAGCATGAGCTTTCCCTGTTGTGTCTTTCATTCTTTCCCTCATCTGTATCAGAAAAGGTCACAATCTGGGGATAATTATTCACTTCACCTTTTCTACCTGGTGAGGTGGCTTGAATTCCCAAGATCTGTCCTTTTCAGGGCTTCATACTGGGATCTCAGGCCCCCATGCTAAGCCTAATTTACTTATCGACTTCATATATTTATAGTGGCATAACAATGACCATATGGATTCTCTGCTAAATATACTCTTACGTTGTTGCTTCCTATATAAAAAAGCACTCAATCCTACTGGTACCATCAGACCAGTGCTCCCCAGGTGATGTGAAAGTTTATCTGAAATCCAGTTTCTGAAGAATAAGTAAACTTTATATGAGAGGACTTCCCTGAAACGCTTGCTTCTCTGTACCATCTAATATAAGCAGAATTTCTGAAAACTACATTCAGCTAGGGTTGCTGTGAAGATTCAATAACAGCACCTGATATATAGGAAGTTTTCATTAAATGTTACCAGTGAGGAAAATGATGTGATTTTGTATTGTTAGAAATCTTGACACATTTGGCATCATCCATGTTTTGCTATTAATTCGTAAGACTACCTCATTAAACCTTTATTTTGAATGTACAAACATTTCTCATTTGTAGTCTTTGGAGGCCTACTTTTACACGTGTTTTGTTTCCATAATTACCTAAAGCTAATTTGACAGGTACTTTGTCTCATTTTTTTTTTCTACTACAGTGTCTAGAAATGTGCTTTACATAGTGCTCAATAAATGTTTGATTAAATTAAAACAATGTTACCAGGGCATCTGCATATTATAACCACAGATTAAGAAATGTAGATACAGAACATGTATTCATTTGAACTTCAAAGTACGAATCCAAATAATAAAGCTGGTATCAAGGTGGCTAGTGGTTCTGGGGCTCTGGTATAATCACTCTGTCTGGTTTGCTATCACTAAATTACCAATAGGGAGCTTGATCTGAGAACACATGCAAAAGCAGATCACCTTCAGCTCCCCTCTACAGGGGTTCAAGAGTCCATTTTCAGCAATGCAGAAAATACATTGAGAAACATATGTTTAGGGGAAAGCAAAATGGTGTTTTCTCACCTGCGAAAGGTAGTTGCTAATAATGCATTTTAACTCTTGTATGCCATCTCACTAAATCTGTACTACTTTGAAATTATAGAACATGTTTTCTTCCTGGAAGACAGAAATTATCTTCTTTATCCCCATGCCTGATCATTACTGAACATAACAATTACAAAATGTATAAAAACACTGTCTCTTTGGGCTCCTTCTTTAGCTATTTTTTTTTCTAGAGAAGAATAAGAATAAATAAAGCAGAGCTTCTTTCAAAATTACAATTTCTTCTGGAATCACGGTTTCAGAAAAAAGAGAAGAGGATGAAGAGTATGAGAAAGGAGAGAGAGAGGGAAGGATACAGAGAATAGCACAGGGTTTTAAATAAATTTAAGTATTCTCCTTTACCAAGGTTTCTTGCTATAAGTCATCTAAGGTCAATTTACTCCCAACATCAGTTTTAACAAAGAAAAGTGAACAAGAAAGCTAACAACAATGGAAAATGATGCTAGACTTTGCCAGAGCTTTTATTTCAACAGGATATTGAGTATTAAAATGCTTTGGCTTGGAGTATCTTGGATGTTGCTTCCAAGTCTTTTTTTTTTTTTTTTTTGAGATGGAGTCTTGCTTTGTTGCCAGGCTGGAGTGTAGTGGCATGATCTCAGCTCACTGCAACCTGCGCCTCCCAGGTTCCAGCGATTCCCCCGCCTCAGCTTCCTGAGTAAGTGTGACTACAGGTGCGTGCCACCACTCCCAGCTAATTTTTTTTTGTATTTTAGTAGAGATGGGGTTTCACCATGTTGGCCAGGATGGTCTCGATCTCCTGACCTCGTGATCCGCCCCTCTCAGCCGCCCAAAGTGCTGGGATTACAGGCGTGAGCTACTGTGTGCGGCCACAACTCTTGATTCCTGCCTCCATTGTACTTTGGTCCTGTTTTCCATTCCAGATCTAGGTTTGTTCTGCATGCTGGCCTTCAACTTTGTTTCTATTCAAATCCAGACCTGCTTTGCTTTCTCAGTTTCTGGCTCAAGTCCCAAGCAAAATTCTATCTGGATAGATCAGAGATTCAAATGGTCAAGGGCCATTTGCAAGCAGCTCTTTCGCTATCAAACAAAGTATGAAAGCCTAGTTTTTAGAAACAGTTTTTACTTTTAGCCATGAAATGCATGAGCATAGTACATGAGGTCCAACAATACTTATGGCTTATATTACAACAACCAGGGTGACTTCCCTTGGTCTTGTTTCCATCGGACAGCAAATGTGATGTCATTTTAATTAAATTCATTGTCATTATTTACATTATTATGACTTTATAATTATAAATTATATAATATATAATTAATAATTATAAATTATATAATATATAATTAATAATTATAAATTATGTATTATATAATTAATAATTATAAATTATATAATTATAAATTATAATTTGTAGAACCAAGCCAAAGAGTATGATGCCTTTTTTCTTATGCCTCTTATACACACTGTCATAGATCTATTCCTATCCTAGTTGTTTTTACTTTTGATCTGTGCCACAAAATTAGTACACTTTAGTTCCAAATTATGTACAATTATATTATTAATTTCACAAAATAAAATAGCTCAGTCAGAATTTTAATCAATATTCGTATTGCCCTAAAAATACTCTTTTATTCACTAATTACTTCAAGGTATTTTGAGTCGGAAGTGTGTTGGATTTTTCTTGTGTGTGCCTTAGAACAATGTGCTAAACATACAAAAAGTATTCAGTAAGCACCTTAGTTGATATAACTGAATTTGCAGTGTTTTTTTCTTACCATTCTTTCTATGTGTGTATGTATGTATGTATGTATGTATGTATGTATGTATGTATATTGAGACAGAGTCTCACTCTTGTTAATCATGTTGGAGTGCAGTGGCATGATCATGGCTTACTGTAGCCTCAATCTCTGCAGGCTCTGGTGATGGCCCCACCTCAGCCTGCCGAGAGCAGCTGGGACTATAGGTGTGTGCCCCCACGCCCGACCAATTTCCCTATTTTATGTAGGGTTGGGGTGTTGCTATGTTGCCCAGACTGGTCTCAAACTCCTGGGCTCAAGTGATCCACCCTCCTCGGCTTTCCAAAGTGCTGGGATTACAGGCATGGACCACCACACCTGGCCTTATTATTTTTAAATTGATAAGTTCACAAATGTATAGCATTCAAAAATGTTTTTCTCTGCCTCTCTAAACTTGACATGTATTTACCAAAGGAACATATAATCTGTGCATTATTTGTTTATAAAGTACAAAAGGAGCTCTAAACTGATATAAAATAGTGGTTCTCAAACTTTTTGATATCAGAAGTCTTTTACATTCTTAAAATTTATTGAGCACCCCAAACATTTACTTTAGAAAATTCTGGAAAATACAAATGTACACAAGCACAGCATTCTGTCAGCTGATAGCGTGATGATATCATATGTCCCTTAGCCTCTGGAACACTTCACTGTAGCTTTAGATAGTTAAGAGTGAAAAAGTCAAATAACAGCTTAGTTCTGTTATAAAAACAGTTTTGTTGTGGCAGAACTCAAAGGGTCTTGGTGTCTCCAGGGCTTCCCAGCAACACTTTAGGAATTTCTGTATAAATATGAAGTGGTAATAATAAATATTTTCAGAACAGCTTAAAGTTTACAATGTAGTTTCACCAGTGTTTTCTCTTTGATTTCCCCCATAACACTGTGAGATTAATTAGTATAGTCATGACAGTATTATATAAGTTTACAGGTAAGAAAAAATTATATTCAGGGAAATTAAGTGATTGTCTCACTCAACTAATAAAATTAACTCAGATCTTCTAATTTTAGAGCTTGTGATTTTTCCATTATATTGTATTTCCTCTTAAAAAATTTCCATAAAACAAGGTTAGTTGAGTTAAATCTAGTTCTATCACAGCCTCTGGCGCATGAGGCTGATTTGAATTAGAACTGATGTCTCCATTTAGATTATGAGTGATCTTGTGAAATCTAATGTGGTCCTGGGTGACACCTGAAAGTTTAATTTCATTCAAGGTTAATCTGAAGATGTCGGGAGACTTCCTTAGATGGATCTTAGGTAGTTCTGGGAATACACCTATCATGAACCTATAATTCTGCTGCAGAATTTACCTGGACTCTTAGGCACAAATGGTTAACAACTGAGCTATACCACTCAGGGTCACTGGATACTTGAACAGACTTGCCAAATCTTTCCTGGGCTGAACTGTTGCCTCCAGCACTAGACTAAAATGGCCAACAGCCAGGAGCAAAAGTATCAAACACTATATGCCTGGGAGCTGGCCCTAGTGTATTTATTTCTTTGGAGGACTGCACTTTCTATACTGTTTTTAAGTTTTAACCTTTGGGCAAATCAAAATGACAGCACCTGTACACCCTGTACATCAAAAGGGACCTGGTCAAATGTCATTCTTTTTCTCTGTTGCTGCTCAGGGCTTTGATACTTCAAGTATTAAGCATGAAGACAATATGGATCACAGGTATAAAGGACACAAATATGTGCTGGGTAAGAAGCTATAAATAACAATGTTAAATGTTCTTTGAAATGAATGAAAAGGAAGGATGAATTTATAGAAGTGGTATAAAAAACTCCTTGACAATCTTTGCTCTGCCGCAAACTGAACTAGTTAGAAGAAATATAATAAATGCTTTATTGAAATACAAAAATGGTAATATCTTCTAAACTGTATCTTTGATGTTTTACTTAGCTGCTAAAATAAAGCAAAATAAATAAAGCCACCACCCTGACAACCACAAAGCTCCCCTCTGTTGACTAGGAGGAGAAAGTCTCTGTTTCTTCACTTGACATTTAGGTGCTTTTTGTCAGTCTTGTGCCATACTCAAAACCACCTTTTCCACTTGGTCTCCTCTTCCCAAACAATGGCCCCTACCACCTTAAGCCAGGTTGGCTTCTGTATTGTCCCACCCCACAGATTTTCACCTCTGCACTTTTGCTCATGTGACTCTCTCAGCGTAAGAGAGTCACATGAGAATACACTTATCATGAATCTATAATTCTCCTGTAACACCTTTCCTCACTGATTTCTACCCATTCTTCAAGCCATTCTTTCCCAGTCTAGTGAATAGCAATTTCTTCTTCCTCTAACCTTTTACAGTAGGGGATAGCAAACTTTTTCTTAAAGACAGTAAGTATTTTAGCCTTGGTGGGCCATAGGTTTCAGTTGCAATATTGAGTCTTCTTGTTGTAAATAAAAACAGCCATAGACAATTCTTAAACAAATAGGTGTGGCTGTGTTCCAACAAATTATCTACAAATAATTTGTAATAATTATTAACAAAGGAGCTATATTTTGCCAACCCATCTTCTAGAGCATCTATTGTGATTAGCAATACTTACCACATAATGTCTTCTTTTCTTATTGTCTTATGTGTTTATCCCATACTTGATCAACTAGACTATAAATTTCATGAAGACAACCATAGCATTTTTTCTATTCCACACATCAATTCTGATACATTAAACATGGTATATATTCAGACATAGAGATATTTGTGATTGATTTAACCACCTTTAAACAATGTTTTTAATTTAAATTTTATTTTAGATTCAGGGGGTACATGTGCAGGATTGTTACGTGTGTGATGCTGAGGTTTGGGCTTCTACTTATCTTGTCACTCAAGTAGTAAACATAGCCTCTGATAGGTGGTTTTTCAACCCTTGCTCCCTTCCCACTTTTGGATTCTCCAGGGTTTATTGTTCCTGTCTTTGAGTGCAGGGCCCCTTTTATTTTTATCTTACTTTTTATTTATTTATTTATTTATTTATTTATTTATTTATTTATTTATTTATTTATTTTGAGACTGAGTCTCACTCTGTCACCCAGGTTGGAGTGCAGTGGCACAATCTCGGCTCACTGCAACCTCTGCCTCCCGGGCTCAGGCAGTTCTACTGCCTCGGCCTCCCGAGTAGCTGGGATTACAGGCATGTGCCACCATACCCAGCTAATTTTTGTATTTTTAGTAGAGATGCAGTTTCACCATGTTGCTCAGGCTGGTCTCAAACCCCTGACGTCCTAAGGTGATCCACTCGCCTCAGCCTCCCAAAGTGCTGGGACTACAGGCATGAGCCAACACCCTCAGCCCAGAACACCTTTTAAAGACAAGAAAAACACTTAATTCCTCTTTACTTCCATTCTTGTGCCTTTTTGTTTGTGTACTAATTCTTAATCCTGTATTTATGTGTTTTTTTTTGTTTTTTTTTTTTTTTTGCTGAGTGCAGGCATCACCTCTTGCTGATAGAGCGTATTACCTCTGATAGAGTGTATTACCTCTCTATGTTAAGGTATACAAAGATACATATTAAAACATATCAAGATAAATACTTTAAGTTATATCCTCAGAAAAATATTTTGTGACTTACATATTAGTCCGTTTTCATGCTGCTGATAACGAAAAGAGATTTAATTGGATTTACAGTTCCACATGGCTGGGGAGGCCTCAGAACCTCATGGTGGGAGGTGAAAGGCACTTCTTACATGGTGGCGGCAAGAGAAAAAGAGAATGATGCAAAAGTGGAAACCCCTGATAAACCCATCAGACCTCAGGAGACTTATTTGCTATCATGAGAATAACACAGGAAAGACCAGCCCCCATGATTCAATTACCTCCCCTGGGTCCCTCCCACAACACGTGGGAATTCTGGGAGCTACAATTCAAGTTGAGATTTGGGTGAGGATACAGCCAAACCATATCAACTTTCTTGTTGGCAGAATGATTAGGATGAGGCCTCATGCTTAGCCTGCCAACATAGCACTCATTTCTTAGGAGAACAAAGTACCATAGGTTGGGCTCCTGATAGAAAGCCTGTTGAGTTTTGCCATTTAATAAAATAGAGTGCACAGTGTAATTTGTACAATGTCAAACTTCAAAGAACAATTTATAACAATAATGTTTCTATTTACAGCGTGCCACTAAGGAAGGGACAATAAAATGTAAAGTTTGACAGTGTCTACTGATTGATATTAAGGTCAGAAGGGGGGAATATTTCTATTCTCAGCATTTTATTGTCAGTTGGCACAACAGAGGGCAGAATACAATCAACTTTGCATTCTTTTCAAAATTCAAGGCTTTGGAAAGGACAGTATTCTAGATGTTATATTTACCCAAGGGAAACTGGAGTGTAAAAACAGAAACAATTTAAAACTGCATGTTTCTAGTTGTTTCTTTTTTCTGTTAGCCTCGAGAAAAATTCTGATAAATGTAGTCCAGTTATAGGTTTTTATTCATGCTGTATTGTAACCATATATTTGGATATGTTAGCTGTTCATTTCAAATACTACACCCACATTTTCTGGTGACATAGATGGGGTCAGTAGATTAATGATAAGCCATATGATTTGTAGAACTGATGAGGGGGGAAAAAAGTATAGCCATCCCATGTGACACAAGAAGATACTCAGCTCAGATGCCTCATCTTGGAATATGAATTAGCATGGTTCACTGGTAACAAAGAATGGTTATGCTGATCATAGTGAAGAATCCGATATGTATCAGCTGCATCTCTTTATAATAAAATAACACAGAGCTAAGTATAGAAATAAGTCATTCTCTTGCCACTGTGTGGGATTAAATGCTCAACTTTGTGTACGCATTTATTACCTTCTAGATTCTTCACATGTTGCTAAAATCATAGAATTTCTGAAAGCATATTTCCAGTCACATCCTCTGACAGGGTGTTCCTTTCAAAAAGCAAAGCAGTGTTTGGCTGAGCTCAGTACAGTGGGCCAGGTACTGATGGGTACCATCAGAGCTTGACATTTAGAACTAGGGGCTTTCCTAAGTGCAGTGCAGTGAGATCATCTTGCCTAGGAGGTAGGAGATGAAATGCTTTAATGCTAGCTTGTGTAGAAGACATTACTTTTATTACCATCTAGGGACCATCCAGAGGCATATTGAAATAACAACACCTCTCGCCCACACATAGGAGTGACTTTGCCAATGGAATAGCTGTTGTTGAAGCTAACTCATGGGAATAAAAATACTGAACTCCTTCAAAAGCAGCCACACACTATAGAAAACCAGACGTCTACCCAGAGAACTCAAGTGGCATGGAAAAGCATCAGCAGTCTCCATGTAGATCCTAAGAGGCTAAGAACTATTCATTCTTTCACCAGTAGTTTTTGAGCTCCAACTCTCTGCCAGGGGGTGAACCATACAAGGCAGACATAACTCCTGTGAACACAGAGCATATATTATGACCACATAATCTTGTGAATACAGTTTTCTTAAATTCAATAAAGGAGGAAGAGTACAAAGTGTTCTGCACTTCTGCAGTACAGGAAATTGACTTGACCTAGTTTGGAGTGGGGTTTGGAGCAGAAAAATTCCCTTGAAGCAGTGACATTTAAGTTGCAAACATAAGGATAGAAATTAGACTGAAATGGGGGTGGGAGGAAGGAGCAAGTGTTTCAGAGATAGGGAATAAGACTGTGAAAGTTTGAGATGAGCATGGTAATACTCCGAATCCGTAAGAACGCTAATTGGGCTTGGAGTTATATTAGGCTAAATCCTATTTTTTTTCAGTGTCTGGTCAAGGGAGATTTTTTTTCTGAAGAAAGAATAACATGCCAGAATTACTAACATTATTCAAATTAAATTATATATTCACAGCTCCCCAGAGTATAAAGCTAAAGACTTTGTCTCTCTAACTTTGTTATTTCTAATTGATACTGTTTTCATCAATCCCAGTTTGATAATTATTAATATAATTGTATGATTTTTTAAGTTTCTGAAATGTTTTTAACCTGTTTTGCGTATATAATTTCATTCAGTTCTCACAATTAATATGAACAAGAATCACAGTGTCCAGGATCCCTCTCTGGGGGATGGAGGACATTGGCACAAACCTCACAGTTTTGTATTAGACCAATTCTAATGTTTACAATGAAAATCAGGTGATGGATGTTAACAAAAAACCATGTTTGATTTCTCAATCCAACCATGGGAAGTTTCTTTTTCTTATTTCTAGGAAGTTATAAACCAATCATCCCAATGAAATCATCTTTTTTTCATTGAATAGCATTACATAGATCTTTTAAGAAATATTTACTCATTACTTTTTCTTAGATGCTACTAAGAGACAGAATCATCTAAGGGACAGAGGTGGAATGTGAGAAAATTGATCTTTCTTGGAGGAAGGCAGATAGACTGGATGACCACTAAAGATTTCTTTAGCTGTGTGTTTCAGTGGCTTAAGAATTCTTCTGTTTAAAGAAATATGAACTGGTTTGCATATCATTGTGCATGATTTAGTATTGCTGTGGTTTATACAGGGATGATTTAATATTGTTAATTTACTCACAGAGTATATTAATCAACTAATAGTATTTAAAGGGCTAGAGTATGAAAAATCAAGCAGAATGAAAAGCAAAACATGGAAGAATCTACTTTAGCTGTGTCCCTTATGATGTATTACGACCCTTGTTTGATACATGACTATAATAAAGCATTGCCATTCAATTAGAGTAAGTTAACTTTAAAATTAATATTGTGCCTATGCTTGATTCAATTTAAAGGGCTGAAGAAAGGGAAGAGAATTTTGAACCATTCACTATGCATTAGCTCCAATGACAGAATATAGATCATAGTAAGTCATGGGCTTCTGCCCAGTTCTGATCTCTGTGTGGTGCATGTCAATGTCAAACTTAAAAAATGTGCACTTTGGTTAGAGCGGCATGCATTTGGTAATTGGACAGAAGTGAGTGGAATGAATTGGAGGTTAAAGTCTAGCCCCTTGGAAATGTTTTGACACTTTACCCAGGAGCTTGCATTTATTAATAGTAATGGTTCCTAAATTTTTATTTTGGCTGGCTTTCTGATTATATTGAAAGACCCAGAAGGAGTAATGAAAGAAATGCATTAGTGAAAAGTATTAAAAAATTACCTTTGACATCTCTAGCACACGGAGCAATTCTAGATGGTTGATAAAAGAGCATAAATCAATCGACACAAATATCCCCTTAAACCTTGTCTTTCATGTCCAGTATTTAATTCTTCCCATTTCTAGTATGAAGATAGGAATTCCATTATCACTAAGAAAATCCACTCTGGGCATCCAAGTCGATATTTCTAAAAATTCACTCACTATTAATTAATGAATAGTGCAAATTAGGGAAATAACTTGCATATGTGTTAGTGTGTGTGTGGGGGAATACTCAACTAAAAAGGGGAGAGAGAAATTAAAATGTAAGTTCTTACTGTGTGCCAAGGACTTTGTTAGACACTTTTTCTAATTTATAAACAACTAGTAAATATTATTTGTCTGAAAGTATTTGGCATTGTTTCATACGTATGTACCGTCATATTTTTACACTGGTAATGTGATCCTACCAGACTAATTAGTTAAAATATTACCATGTTGGTCAACATTTTTTGTCAGGGGTGGGATCAGGGCAAAAAAATCGTCTGAGCATTAAAAAGATGCATGATACCACTACAACTTGTTCTTGCTGCTTCTGTAGTGAAAAGCACTGTAAGGGAAAGGACACTTGTCTGTGCTGTACATGCACATGACCCATGTACAATGCATATTACACAAGCATGTACTAGCAGTTTAGTGAAAGTCTGATCCTGAAGCGTTAACACTTGTTAACATTTTTATTTGCTTTATTAAGTTTAATATTCTTAATTCTTTTTGGCTTTTTGTATGTGGAATCCTCAAAACAGACCATTTTTTGGCAAAAACTTTGAGAAAAATAAGTAAATTCATTCAACGAGTAGGATTGGGAAGCCATTTTGTATGAATCTTATGTTGAGAGTGGATTTGAATAGAAATCTAAATTTCTGCAAATAGAAATTTGATGGGACCACTGGGAAGTAAGTAGCAAAGTGGGGAAAGAAATGGAAGATATGTGTTTAGTTGAATAGAGGCTGGATAGTGAGTGTGTATTAGTACAGAAGTGAGAAGAAAAAATGAAAGTAGGCCTTTAGATTCAAGAGAAAGTTGCAGAGAAAAAGCCTGGAAGATGAATAGGAGAGAGAGAAGAAAAAGCTCGGTTCAAAGTTGTCACTTATTTTCAGGTTAGGTATTCATTTTCATGACTCAAAGATACAATAGCTTCCAAATCTTCACCAGTGGCCAAGTTGGAATTATACCAGTTAGAAATACTGAATGGGCAAAAACTGGAAGCATTCCCTTTGAAAACTGGCACAAGACAGGGATGCCCTCCCTCACCACTCCTATTCAACATAGTGTTGGAAGTTCTGGCCAGGGCAATTAGGCAGGAGAAGGAAATAAAGGGTATTCAATTAGGAAAAGAGGAAGTCAAATTGTCCCTGTTTGTAGACGACATGATTGTATATCTAGAAAACCCCATTGTCTCAGCCCAAAATCTCCTTAAGCTGATAAGCAACTTCAGCAAAGTCTCAGGATACAAAATCAATGTACAAAAATCACAAGCATTCTTATATACCAATAACAGACAAACAGCCAAATCACGAGTGAACTCCCATTCACAATTGCTTCAAAGAGAATAAAATACCTAGGAATCCAACTTACAAGGGACATGAAGGACTTCTTCAAGGAGAACTACAAACCATTACTCAATGAAATAAAAGAGGATATAAACAAATGGAAGAACATTCCATGCTTGTGGATAGGAAGAATCAATATCGTGTAAATGGCCATACTGCCCAAGGTAATTTATAGATTCAATGCCATCCCCATCAAGCTACCAATGACTTTCTTCACAGAATTGGAAAAAACTACTTTAAAGTTCATATGGAACCAAAAAAGAGCCCACATCGCCAAGTCAATCCTAAGCCAAAAGAACAAAGCTGGAGGCATCACGCTACCTGACTTCAAACTATACTACAGGGCTACAGTAACCAAAACAGCATGGTACTGGTACCAAAACAGAGATATAGATCAATGGAACAGAACAGAGCCCTCAGAAATAATGCCGCATATCTACAACTATCTGATCTTTGACAAACCTGAGAAAAACAAGCAATGGGGAAAGGATTCCCTATTTAATAAATGGTGCTGGGAAAACTGACTAGCCATATGTAGAAAGCTGAAACTGGATCCCTTCCTTACACCTTATACAAAAATTAATTCAAGATGGATTAAAGACTTACATGTTAGACCTAAAACCATAAAAACCCTAGAAGAAAAGCTAGGCAATACCATTCAGGACATAGGCATGGGCAAGGACTTCATGTCTAAAACACCAAAAGCAATGGCAACAAAAGACAAAATTGACAAATGGGATCTAATTCAACTCAAGAGCTTCTGCACAGCAAAAGAAACTACCATCAGAGTGAACAGGCAACCTACAGAATGGGAGAAAATTTTCACAACCTACTCATCTGACAAAGGGCTAATATCCAGAATCTACAATGAACTCAAACAAATTTACAAGAAAAAAACAAACAACCTCATCAAAAAGTGGGCGAAGCATATGAACAGACACTTCTCAAAGGAAGACATTTATGCAGCCAAAAAACACATGAAAAAATGCTCATCATCACTGGCCATCAGAGAAATGCAAATCAAAACCATAATGAGACACCATCTCACACCAGTTAGAATGGCGATGATTAAAAAGTCAGGAAACAACAGGTGCTGGAGAGGATGTGGAGAAATAGGAACACTTTTACACTGTTGGTGGGACTGTAAACTAGTTCAACCATTGTGGAAGTCAGTGTGGTGATTCCTCAGGGATCTAGAACTAGAAATACCATTTGACCCAGCCATCCCGTTACTGGGTATATACCCAAAGGACTATAAATCATGCTGCAATAAAGAGACATGCACACGTATGTTTATTGCGGCACTATTCACAATAGCAAAGACTTGGAACCAACCCAAATGTCCAACAACGATAGACTGGATTAAGAAAATGTGGCACATATACACCATGGAATACTATGCAGCCATAAAAAATGATGAGTTCATGTTCTTTGTAGGGACATGGATGAACTTGGAAGTCATCATTCTTAGCAAACTATTGCAAGGACAAAAAACCAAACACCGCATGTTCTCACTCATAGGTGGGAATTGAACAACGAGAACACATGGACATAGGAAGGGGAACATCACACTCTGTGGACTGTTGTGGGGTGGGGGGATGGGGGAGGGATAGCATTAGGAGATATACCTAAATGACGAGTTAATGGGTGCAATACACCAACATGGCACATGTATACATATGTAACAAACCTGCACATTGTGCACATGTACCCTAAAACTTAAAGTATAATAATAATAAAATAAAATAAAATAAAAATACAGTAATCTGGAATAGGTCAAAATGAGTGTTGCTGGTGCTTGGAGACAGTTCAGATAGGTATCTATAATGAATTTTGAAATAGGAATATAGGATGACTCCTCTAAGAGTCCAATTTAATAAGTTAGAGCAGAGATGGATAAGGTCAGCTTTTGTATAAAATGGCCCCAGGGTCAGTAGGGTCTATAGTAACTGGATTGAACATTAACATATTTGAAAATAGAATATGCATTGGTCAGCATTGCAAACATAGAAAAAGGTGAGTTGAATTCATTCAGCCAAACAAATATATATTGAATGCTTTCTGGGTGCCAGACAGAGGCTATAGTGATGAACAAGACAGGCAATGTCCCTGACCCCTCAGAGGTCTTACAGTCATAGAGGTCAGTGATGGCATGATGTGGCTGAGCATTGTCCGGGAGAGAGGCTGCCAGTGATACTGTTCTCCACTTTCCAGAACATCTCTCCTTTGAAGACAGAGACAGCAGGCATTTTTGCCTATTATTACAGACTTAAGTCATCTCACAAATGCCCTTTTTTTTCTGAGACCATGCTAACTCTCTAAGTTTCTGATCATAATTTGGATTCTTAGATGTGTCTGCCTATGAGAATGAATACCAGAGTCAAGCAAATATGAGGGCTTTGGTCCTGGTGATGTTTACATTTCTCTTTTAAAATATGGCCATTAGTATTCTGTGTGTTACATCAGTCTACTAAGGGTATATCCCTAAGGGCTAAACCCCTTCTTAGACTTCTGCCAAAGTCAGATTTTTGAGTCTGAAGGCTGGGAGCCAGATCCTATACTATCATAACTTTCTTGAGAAATAGCCAGCTGGGCTCATTGGTGACACTCAAAATCTGTGTTAACTGTTCTTGTTTTGCCTTAACATTTCTAAAAGGAATAGGTCTTAGTCTCTCCAAATAATATTGAACATATATCTGAGAGATACTGCTTTCAGTCAAGTGATGGAATAGGTACATTTATCTTTTCTTGTTTCCTTATAGTGGTTCCCTTGTGTCATTTCTTGATCTCATGGCAGACGTCTCTTGCCTCAGGTATGGCTGGCAAAGGGCCAGCCCATGATCTTATGGGATGTCTTTCAACTGTTCAGGGGATGGAGCAGTCTCATGATGTGTTAATTTGCTTTTGACATCTGGTTCTTATCCATCTGCTTAGAAGTCTGCTGTTATTATTTGATTACTGGCAAAGCCAACCTCAGGCTATCTTTATTTTTTTTTTAAAGTCAACCTGAAGTTATTTCCACTTTTCTAAAGAGATCTTAAGTATCAACAGCTAATTATTCTTTAACAAAATAGCAACCTCTGTGCTTTGCAACCTCAGCCTTTTCTTGGTATCAGCATTTTTGTTTTTTAATTTTTTTAAAAAATAATTATTCCATACAAAATACTTAAATAGATTTCTGGCAGGTGACCATTGCCCTTTGCAGATCTCTGTGATGTTTTGATTTTCATGCCCTAAATGGTATGCCACAGTGGACTTGGTTGAAGAAATTAATAGTAACACTATACTTTTAACACTTTTCCATAAGATGGTAAAAATACTTGGGTATATGTGGAAGTTTAATTATTTACATTTTTTAAAAATAGTGATATAGTAGGGTGTCTAAAACTTTAAAACTTTTTGTTTTGTTTTTCAAACTTTTGGTTTAGCAGTACAACCTTGTTTTCAGATAAAATATAAAGAACCTGATATAATAAAGTGATAAAACTAGAGATAGTCTAGATGAAGCCTGAATGCATTGGCGAATTGGGTGGAGTCCTGGCTTAGAACTGCATAAAACATGACTTCAAAGTCTAGAGTTTAGAATTTCAATATCAAATGTTACCAATGAGGAGGAGCATGAGAAAGAAACAGAATAAGAAGCAGAATATTATTTTGCCATATGTATATGGAGGAGCACTTTGAGAAGTCCACCAAAACAAGTGGGATATTAGTAAAAAGGCTAAAATGAGCCTAGAAGCTATAGCAGATTGGTAGCTGAGCAAGCCATGTAGTGGTGAGGACATTAAGAATGATGACCTGATATTGCTTTAATGGGAATGCTAGTTACAGATTGCAGAGGAACAGTAATATCAGACTAAAAAAAAGCCTTTGGGGGTGTTTCAAATTGTATTAAAATTAGAATGATTCTTTTAGGGCAAAGAAAACAGGCATATCAGGACTCCAAAAATAATGACAAAGTTTAATTCAGTTCATTTATCCTCTATAATGGGATAGACATGGTGCTAGGTATGTTTATATTATGTAGTGTACTGAAAATAATGCTGAAGCTAAAAACTGAAAACACGGGTTATTTTATGCCCCATAAACGTGCCAGATGGGAATCACTAGCATTCTGTTATCTACTAATATGTGGGATAAGGTTGCAAAGTGACATTATATATATAAAAGAATTGAGATTTATTCTTTTCATTTGGAATACTGGTCATTTTTTTATGGGCAGTACTAGCAGAGAGTTTGGAATATATATAGATATCTATGCATGCGGAGACCAATAAATTCTATTAAACATCCTAATTGTCTCTTAGATTTACTGCACACGTTAATGCCTAATGCTTCAGATCATGGGAATATTTAATGCCAGGTTCATTCTATTTTTAGCTAAAGCTTACTCATTGCCAAGTGATGGTGTGTTTTCACCCATAAAATATAATGCTTGATGATACTTTGCTCATATTGTGCTTATTCTCTTTTGTCTGTAACATCCCCCAAAGCAAAACTCCTCTCTGCCTCTTAAATTTTCCTCAAGTTATTGCTTTATCTTGTTTCTCATCATCACCATAAAATTTCTAGAAATAATAGTTTCTATCACTCAGTATTTACTTCTCAATGCACTGCAGGTTTTCTTCTGCATCTCCAGTGCTTAATAAAAGTACTCACTTCAGAGCCGTTACTGGTGACCTGCTAAACACCAGCTCTGGAGTGTCTTTGCAGCCTCTGTGCTACTGCTTGTCCAACCGTCAGTTTGGTGCTTGTCTTGGTCCATTGCAGTATTTTGCTGTAATAAAATATGACACACTGGGTGGATTATAAACAATAGAAATTTATTTCTCACAGTTCTGGAGGTGTGAAGTTCAAGATTAAGGTACCTGCAGATTCGGTGCCTGTTGAGGACCATCTTCTGGTTCCTAGAAGGTGTCTTCTTGCTGCATCCTTACATAGTAAAAGGAAAAGGCAGCTCTCTGGGGACTCTTTTAGAAGAGCACTAATCCCATTCAGGAGAACTCTGAATCAGATTCCAAAGGCCCCACCTCCTAATACCACCAAATTAGAGATTAGGTTTCAACTTATGAATATGTTGAACATATGTTGAACATACGCTTAATACATATGTTCAACATAATCCTATGTTGAAACCTAATCAACATCTTAGGTTGGTGATGGTGCCTTCGAGTGACACAAACATTGAGACCATGGCAGTGCTATTTGCCTTAAGTATCACTCTCCCGATCTGCTTTCTCCTTCTTTGACTATTTCCTTTCAGTCTCTTTCATGGACTGTCCTTCCTCTGTCCATTAACGTTCCCTGAATGTGGGTCCAAATCTTCAGTCTTTATAGTTTTTGCCTTAGTTTGGGACTCATCACTTCTCACCTGGTTTACTTCCGGAGACTCCCAATATCCTCATAGCTTGTTGGGCATAAGTCTCTCCCACCTGTTCCACATCATACTACATACTGTGGGAAGAGCAGCTGTCCATTAAAACAAGCCTGGTCTTTCACTAGATTACTTAAAACATCCATTGCGCAATGGATCAAATGAGAAAATTCTTGCATGGCATGCAAACCCCCTCAGAGACCGGCTGTCATTTTCTGTTTCTGTCTTATGTCCTTCCACTCTCCTCCGTACACCAGCTGGAATGGCTGCCTCTGCACTTGTGTTCCTGAGCATGTGGCTGTCCTCCTTTCTCTGTCTAGCAATATCTAAGGTGTTTAATCCCTGCATGCCTTTTTCTTTTTGATACAGCAAGGGTAACTGTAATGTCTGTATTAAGGGAAGATTGTGATGGTCAAAGGAAATAGGGCGTATGTAACTGCTTTATTTTCTACAAGCATCATAAACTGATCTATACACATTTATGTAGTTCTTGTTTTTAGATCACTTTGAGGTGGGCTTGGGGGAATTTGTGGAGGATACTCAGGAAACCGATAAAGATAATTAAAAGTTTAAAAATTAGAATAATGAAGAACAGGAAAAGGAACAATTATTCAGCCAAGAGAAGAAAAGCCTGAAGGGAGATATAAGAAAGAAAAATTATTTCCTAGAGGACAGACTTAGACCATCCTCCATTAATATTGAGAAGAAAGCACAGCAAAGCATATAGGATTTATGCTTGCTGTAAGGAACATTTCCCACATTAAGGGAATCGGCTATCTAGAATAGTTTATTCATTAAACTCCCCAAATCTGTTCATCTGTAGATCTAAAAAGATATATTTTCTTCTGTCTAACCCATGTAGGTATGAAGAGGCCTGAATGTGGAGAAGTGAGTTAGGTGATTTCTTGCAGTTCTTTTTTTTCCCCTCAGTAAGTCATTCTTTCATTCTCTGTCTCTCTCTTCCTCTATCCATCTCTCTAAATGCCTCTCTCTGGCTTTCTTTCTCTTCATCTCTGTAATACTATTTCTCCCTCTCCTTTTTCTTCCATTTGTTCTCTTACCTTTCTCTCACCATTCCTGAATACTTTTTCATTTGAGCTCCTATCCTCCGAGCCCTAAAATGCAGTACAAACAAAAGGTTTCAGAAATAGTCCAAACACCACTATTCTACCTATTTTTTTGGTCTTAAGTTCCTCATATTTTTTGGTTGGCGTAAATATTTTGGATAAGAGGATGATATGGTTTGGCTGTGTCCCCACCCAAATCTCATCTTAAACTGTAGTTTCCATAATCCCCACTTGTTGTGGGAGGGACCCAGTGGGAGGTAATTGAATCATGGGAGTGGTTACCTCCATGCTGTTCTTGTGATAGTGAATGACTTCTCACGAGATCTGATGGTTTTATAAGGAGATTTTCCCTCCTTTGCTCTGCACTTTTCCTTGCCACTGCCATGTGAAGAAGGACATGTTTGCTTCCCCTTCCGCCATGATTGTAAGTTTCCTGAGGCCTCCCCAGCCATGCTGAACTGGGAGTCAATTAAACCTCTTTCCTTTATAAATTACCCAGTCCTGGAATGTCTTTATTAGCAGTGTGAGAATAGACTAATACAAAGGAAAATTTTTATTTCTGTAGAGTTAAGGAGAGAGGCATTTTTATGATCACTTACTTTACATTACTTTATAAGGTCTTCTTTCTTCTGCACTTTTCTCAGCATAACTCCATATCTTTTTTTTTTTTTGAGAGGAATTTTTCCTGTAACTTATGGACAACATATTTTTGCCAGTTAACTATAAAGTTCCTTCATTACATGGTATTGTAATGAAGTCTGAGGGAAGAGGACATTAATCAGTACCATTACTCTGGGGAGCAAGAAGCACCACAGAATGCCCTGCTGAACTTTGAGGTATATATTTGTAGGTTCAATTTCTAACCCTTGCATTTAGTAGGTTGTACTTGTTTCTTATATTATCTTTCTACCTATGTGTGTACTTCCTGCCTTTCTTTTGATGATGTTGGTGGCAATCTGTCTCTCATTAACTTTGCTTCCTATTTCTCCTCTATTACTTTTTTTCAGTTCTTCTCATTCCTTTTTAATGTTTAGCCTTTTGGGGGCAGATTTCATCATTTACTGAGATTGGCTCCTCAAGGATGCAGTCCTGAAACTTTGCATGCTGATGGATCCCAGCACTTGCTACTGGAATCCACACAACTATGAGGTGACAAATGTTAAACTTGTATTATTTGTGGGAAAGTCACATGGCTGAGTCGATACCATCATTTTTCTTTTTCTTTTCTCTTGAGAAGCTACAATATCTCATCTTTGACTTTTTATCTAGTCTTCACTAGATTTCCCCCTCAAGCACTTTTAAAACATATAGATAATTGAATTTTGTTCCTGTTTTTTTTCTCACTAACTTTCATGTCATAGTTGAAGAGAACTATGTAATGTTCATTATCGCAGTTTCATTGTGAATCAACAAACCCCTGAATTAAAACTTTACAGTATAAACTCTAATAAGAAGAGTGAAATTGGCACTTCTGGAAAGCAAGAGAGAGGAGCAGTGGTCATTATAAGCAAGATATGGAGTTAACAGTTTGTAAATGATCACTCATTACTACTATTTCAACAGATGCTGTTAAATGGAAGCTATCCTGGAAAACTTATTTGGAATTGAATGTAAATATTGTTGCTATAAAGTAGAATGATTAATTAGTATATTAACTATAACAGGAATATAAGGTCATTTAAATTATAGCTTTGGGTTTCCTCCCTCCCTTCATCTCTCCATTCTTGTTTTTTCTCTCTCCACTCCTCCTTCCCTTTATTTTTTTAACAAATATTTTGAGCATACACAATCTCATCAATCAAAATTATATCAAGCTTAAATGTTTCAGTCAACTGGTAATTAGGGTTTTTTTTCCTGTCATAAATATTTATTGAGCACCTACCATTTGCTCGCTTGGTGAGTTAGTAAATTACCTTATTTATGTAAACTTATTTAAGTCCCACAAAGGTCCTGTGACTGGTATTATTATCTCCAATTTTCCTTAACTTATTTTCTTTCTCCAACACTTTTCCTTTATGTGGCTCTGAGTTTCTGACCTATATACTTTTTCTTCTCTCTGAAGAACAACTTTTAACATTTCTTGCAAGGCAGGTCTACTGGCAACAAATTCCCTCCATTTTTGTTCATCTGTGAATGTCTTTATTCTCATTCACTTTTGAAGAATAACTTTGCAGGGTACAGAATTCTAGACTGGTGTTATTTTTTCTCTCAATGCTTTTAACATTTCACTCCACTATCTTCTTGCTGTATGGCTTCTGAGGAGAAGTTAGATGTAATTCTTATCTTTACACCTCTGTAGGTAAGGTATTTTTTTCCCCTGGGTTCTTTCAAGATTTTTAAAAAATATATTTTCTATAGTTTGAATATGATATGCCTAGATGTAGACTTTTGACATTGATCCTGCTTGGTGTTTTCTGAGCTTCCTGGATCTGTGGTTTGGTGTCTGACATTAATTTGGGAAAATTCTCCATCATTATTGCTTCATATATTTCTTCTGTTCCTTTCTCTCTTTCTCTTTCTGTTAGTCCCACTAAGCTTACATTACACCTTTTATAGTTGTTCCATAGTTTTTGGATGTTCTGTTTGATTTTTTTTCAGTCTTTTTTCCCTTTGATTTTCAATATGGTAAGTTTCTATTGACATAGCCTCAAGCACAGAGAGTCTTTCCTCAAGTGTTCCTAGTTTACTAAGGAGCTCATCACAGGCAGTCTTCATTTCTGTTACACTGGTTTTGATCTCTAGAATTTTTAAATTATTTCTATCTCTCTGCTTACATTACACATTTATTCTTGCATGTTGTCTACTTTCTCTATTAGAATCTTTAGAATATTAATCAAAGTTCTTAAAGAAAATTTCTGGCTTGATAATTCCAGCGTTCCTGCCATATTTGACTCTGATTCTGATGCTTGTCCATTTCTTCAAAGTGTGTTTTTTTTTGCTTTTTAGTATACCTGGTAATCATGCATTGGATAAGAGAAACTGCAGTAAATCGGCCTTTACTAATGTGGTAGTAAGGTGTGGGAAGAGGGGAAATGTTCTATAGCCCTATGGTTAGGTCTCAGTGTTTTAGCCTTGGACTGTGAACTTGAAAAGTGCTTTTTAGTCTCCTTCACCAACCTCCTGGCCCCTGGGTGGGACAGGATGGGTGGAGGGGTCTAGAGTTGGGTATTTCCCTTCCCCAGGTCAGATAGGCTCTGATCAAATCCCAATAAGGTTAGGCATCATAAAACAGTTTCTCTTGAGGGCAGGTCTCGTGAAGAGCAGAGCGCTCTGTCATATTCCAAAAGGAGTGTTTTCCCCTGCTGAAAGTATAAGGGTGTTTTAAAGCAATTTTCACTCTGAGAACCTGGTAGAGTTCCAGGAAGTAAAACTTCTAAATTTCGGTACCTTTCTATGACTTGCTCCCTGTGGAGATTTTAACTCTCAGATGTGTCCATACCGAGCCTCTAGCAATTTATCAATTACAGTTCAGGTTTTTCTGTCCTGGCACTGGTTCCCTCAGAGGTTTCTACTTAAGGGTTTCTTCTAAGTTGCAATTTTCTGTATTCACCTGTCTGTCTTTCCAGTTTTGGGGGCAGCAGCTTGCACTTCTCTGACAAATCCAAGAAGAGTTGTTGATTTCTTGGCTTGTTCACCTTTTTTAACTTGCTGTTAGGATGGTGTAATGACTTCCCAGCTCCAGTCTGAAAGAGGAGCCTGGTGAACTGAAAACCTTGTCTATTATTTATATTTAAATATATGAAAGCAGGCAGTTTTCAACAAGGCTGAGTAACTTGCTTGAGGTCAAACACAAACATAAGGGATGGAATCTAAAATTTAAAAAAATTGAACTCCAATTAAAAAATGTATTTTAGCTGTTACAGTTGGTCTTTTGCTCTGAGTGACAATTATATATGGTTATTACTTTGAATAACAATTATATATCTGGGTGCTTATTGGTACAAAGAGTATTAAGTTTCAGTTAAACAGGAGAAATAAATTTTTGAGATCTATTGCACAGCATAGTAACTGTATTTAACAATAATATATTGTATACATATAACATCACTTTGTACTCCATAAATATATACAAATATAATTTGTCAATTTTTAATAAAAAATTAAACAAAATTATGTATCTGGGAAAATACATCTGAATCACAGAAAAATTCTTCTATAGATTACATAATCTAAATAATTGATACCACAGAGTTACAGATATTGAGTATTTCACATGTGGAATAAAAGATGAATTCCAATTACAGTGAATAGTACATTGAATATTTCTTTCTTATTTTTGAGCTTAGTTTCTTTCATGGAAATGTATACATATATTTCCTATGTAAAACAGAGTTTATAAAGTACTTTTTTATTTTTTAATCTCTTTTCTGTTTTATTGCTATTATACTACTAACATTGCATTCATAAGAGGTCATCCTTCAGATAGCAGTGAGGATGAATGATTATTTGGCTGTCCGTCAATAAAGTTGATGATGGTATAATTTTAAAAACGAACAATACTCAATTTATTGAGTACTTAGTAGAGGTCAGGCACAAAGTTTAAGTGCTTTACAATAAATTATCTCACTTAGTTCTCAAAATAACCTTATATATAAACTATCATCAATTTCTACTGTAAAACTAAGAAAATTGAAGTTAAAAATTAACTTTCTCTTATTTCCCAGGGTTAGTAAGATATGGGGCAAGGATTTGAACCTAGCCTCCTTGGCTCCAGGGCTCACAGTGTTAAAAATAACTCCATGTATATTTGTCCAATTAACACATTCTCTTTTAAGAAACATTTATTTGTGACCAGCATCAAAAGAGAGGAAAAATTAGTCTCAGGTTTACATTATCTACTTTTTTAGAAGAGAAATAAAAATTCACTTAGAACCTAGACTCTTCGTGCTTTATTGCACAGTGGTTTAAGAGCATTGTCACATTTAATTGAAGACTCATTCACTGTGTCACTGTATTTTAATGTGAGTTGACATGGAGATAGGAAACATATAATTTTAATGTTAAAAATTAACATATAGTAATGAAGGGTAAACAGCACAGACTGAATTTTTAATTTTTCGACTATTTCTAATGAAGAATATATAAAATATTTCAATGGTATTTAATCAGCCTCCAATTATGAATTTACATAATATTTACTCCACAAGAAACATTATTTTACTTCTTTCATGATCATTTTAAAATGTACAGTTTTCAAATCAACTTTTCAGAAAGCAACTTTGTTTTCTTTGTGGACAGATGGCAAAAATTATATCCACAAAACTTTTTGTTTTCATATTCTGGAAAAGTAGTATGCAGTCATTGTGGAACAGGGCTTTTAAAAGTTGCTCATGTCCTGCACTGAACCAATTGAATAACACAGCAAAAGAGCCACCAGTATCTGACCTGGCTTCTACAGACCAAATAAACCCTTTGTATGTTTGTTTATTTTCATCTGTAACTTTGTTTGCTTATTTTTCATTCTGATACTTTTTAGTAAAATGAGTAAGATCTTCTCAACAGTTTAGACTATACTTCCACAGATCTGTTGACATTTGATGAGCACATCTGCTAAAGTGAATTTAAAAGGGATAGTTTACTTCATCTCTTTCTTTACCTGTTCCACTAATCACTTGTACCAAATTTATTTATTTATTTATTTATTTTTTATTATACTCTAAGTTTTAGGGTACATGTGCACATTGTGCAGGTTAGTTACATATGTATACATGTGCCATGCTGGTGCGCTGCACCCACTAATGTGTCATCTAGCATTAGGTATATCTCCCAATGCTATCCCTCCCCCCTCCCCCGACCCCACCACAGTCCCCAGAGTGTGATATTCCCCTTCCTGTGTCCATGTGATCTCATTGTTCAATTCCCACCTATGAGTGAGAATATGCGGTGTTTGGTTTTTTGTTCTTGCGATAGTTTACTGAGAATGATGGTTTCCAATTTCATCCATGTCCCTACAAAGGATATGAACTCATCATTTTTTATGGCTGCATAGTATTCCATGGTGTATATATGCCACATTTTCTTAATCCAGTCTATCATTGTTGGACATTTGGGTTGGTTCCAAGTCTTTGCTATTGTGAATAGTGCCGCAATAAACATACATGTGCATGTGTCTTTATAGCAGCATGATTTATAGTCCTTTGGGTATATACCCAGTAATGGGATGGCTGGGTCAAATGGTATTTCTAGTTCTAGATCCCTGAGGAATCGCCACACTGACTTCCACAATGGTTGAACTAGTTTACAGTCCCACCAACAGTGTAAAAGTGTTCCTATTTCTCCACGTCCTCTCCAGCACCTGTTGTTTCCTGACTTTTTAATGATTGCCATTCTAACTGGTGTGAGATGATATCTCATAGTGGTTTTGATTTGCATTTCTCTGATGGCCAGTGATGATGAGCATTTTTTCATGTGTTTTTTGGCTGCATAAATGTCTTCTTTTGAGAAGTGTCTGTTCATGTCCTTCGCCCACTTTTTGATGGGGTTGTTTGTTTTTTTCTTGTAAATTTGTTTGAGTTCATTGTAGATTCTGGATATTAGCCCTTTGTCAGATGAGTAGGTTGCGAAAATTTTCTCCCATGTTGTAGGTTGCCTGTTCACTCTGATGGTAGTTTCTTTTGCTGTGCAGAAGCTCTTTAGTTTAATTAGATCCCATTTGTCAATTTTGTCTTTTGTTGCCATTGCTTTTGGTGTTTTGGACATGAAGTCCTTGCCCACGCCTATGTCCTGAATGGTAATGCCTAGGTTTTCTTCTAGGGTTTTTATGGTTTTAGGTTTAACGTTTAAATCTTTAATCCATCTTGAATTGATTTTTGTATAAGGTGTAAGGAAGGGATCCAGTTTCAGCTTTCTACATATGGCTAGCCAGTTTTCCCAGCACCATTTATTAAATAGGGAATCCTTTCCCCATTGCTTGTTTTTCTCAGGTTTGTCAAAGATCAGATAGTTGTAGATATGCGGCATTATTTCTGAGGGCTCTGTTCTGTTCCATTGATCTATATCTCTGTTTTGGTACCAGTACCATGCTGTTTTGGTTACTGTAGCCTTGTAGTATAGTTTGAAGTCAAGTAGTGTGATGCCTCCAGCTTTGTTCTTTTGGCTTAGGATTGACTTGGCAATGCGGGCTCTTTTTTGGTTCCATATGAACTTTAAAGTAGTTTTTTCCAATTCTGTGAAGAAAGTCATTGGTAGCTTGATGGGGATGGCATTGAATCTATAAATTACCTTGGGCAGTATGGCCATTTTCACGATATTGATTCTTCCTACCCATGAGCATGGAATGTTCTTCCATTTGTTTGTGTCCTCTTTTATTTCCTTGAGCAGTGGTTTGTAGTTCTCCTTGAAGAGGTCCTTCACATCCCTTGTAAGTTGGATTCCTAGGTATTTTATTCTCTTGGAAGCAATTGTGAATGGGAGTTCACCCATGATTTGGCTCTCTGTTTGTCTGTTGTTGGTGTATAAGAATGCTTGTGATTTTTGTACATTGATTTTGTATCCTGAGACTTTGCTGAAGTTGCTTATCAGCTTAAGGAGATTTTGGGCTGAGACGATGGGGTTTTCTAGATAAACAATCATGTCATCTGCAAACAGGGACAATTTGACTTCCTCTTTTCCTAATTGAATACCCTTTATTTCCTTCTCCTGCCTGATTGCCCTGGCCAGAACTTCCAACACTATGTTGAATAGGAGCAGTGAGAGGGCATCCCTGTCTTGTGCCAGTTTTCAAAGGGAATGCTTCCAGTTTTTGCCCATTCAGTATGATATTGGCTGTGGGTTTGTCATAGATAGCTCTTATTATTTTGAAATACGTCCCATCAATACCTAATTTATTGAGAGTTTTTAGCATGAAGGGTTGTTGAATTTTGTCAAAGGCTTTTTCTGCATCTATTGAGATAATCATGTGGTTTTTGTCTTTGGCTCTGTTTATATGCTGGATTACATTTATTGATTTGCGTATATTGAACCAGCCTTGCATCCCAGGGATGAAGCCCACTTGATCATGGTGGATAAGCTTTTTGATGTGCTGCTGGATTCGGTTTGCCAGTATTTTATTGAGGATTTTTGCATCAATGTTCATCAAGGATATTGGTCTAAAATTCTCTTTTTTGGTTGTGTCTCTGCCCGGCTTTGGTATCAGAATGATGCTGGCCTCATAAAATGAGTTAGGGAGGATTCCCTCTTTTTCTATTGATTGGAATAGTTTCAGAAGGAATGGTACCAGTTCCTCCTTGTACCTCTGGTAGAATTCGGCTGTGAATCCATCTGGTCCTGGACTCTTTTTGGTTGGTAAACTATTGATTATTGCCACAATTTCAGAGCCTGTTATTGGTCTATTCAGAGATTCAACTTCTTCCTGGTTTAGTCTTGGGAGAGTGTATGTGTCGAGGAATGTATCCATTTCTTCTAGATTTTCTAGTTTATTTGCGTAGAGGTGTTTGTAGTATTCTCTGATGGTAGTTTGTATTTCTGTGGGATCGGTGGTGATATCCCCTTTTTCATTTTTTATTGTGTCTATTTGATTCTTCTCTCTTTTTTTCTTTATTAGTCTTGCTAGCGGTCTATCAATTTTGTTGATCCTTTCAAAAAACCAGCTCCTGGATTCATTGATTTTTTGAAGGGTTTTTTGTGTCTCTATTTCCTTCAGTTCTGCTCTGATTTTAGTTATTTCTTGCCTTCTGCTAGCTTTTGAATGTGTTTGCTCTTGCTTTTCTAGTTCTTTTAATTGTGATGTTAGGGTGTCAATTTTGGATCTTTCCTGCTTTCTCTTGTAGGCATTTAGTGCTATAAATTTCCCTCTACACACTGCTTTGAATGCGTCCCAGAGATTCTGGTATGTGGTGTCTTTGTTCTCGTTGGTTTCAAAGAACATCTTTATTTCTGCCTTCATTTCGTTATGTACCCAGTAGTCATTCAGGAGCAGGTTGTTCAGTTTCCATGTAGTTGAGCGGTTTTGAGTGAGATTCTTAATCCTGAGTTCTAGTTTGATTGCACTGTGGTCTGAGAGATAGTTTGTTATAATTTCTGTTCTTTTACATTTGCTGAGGAGAGCTTTACTTCCAACTATGTGGTCAATTTTGGAATAGGTGTGGTGTGGTGCTGAGAAAAATGTATATTCTGTTGATTTGGGGTGGAGAGTTCTGTAGATGTCTATTAGGTCCGCTTGGTGCAGAGCTGAGTTCAATTCCTGGGTATCCTTGTTGACTTTCTGTCTTGTTGATCTGTCTAACGTTGACAGTGGGGTGTTAAAGTCTCCCATTATTAATGTGTGGGAGTCTAAGTCTCTTTGTAGGTCACTGAGGACTTGCTTTATGAATCTGGGTGCTCCTGTATTGGGTGCATAAATATTTAGGATAGTTAGCTCCTCTTGTTGAATTGATCCCTTTACCATTATGTAATGGCCTTCTTTGTCTCTTTTGATCTTTGTTGGTTTAAAGTCTGTTTTATCAGAGACTAGGATTGCAACCCCTGCCTTTTTTTGTTTTCCATTGGCTTGGTAGATCTTCCTCCATCCTTTTATTTTGAGCCTATGTGTGTCTCTGCACGTGAGATGGGTTTCCTGAATACAGCACACTGATGGGTCTTGACTCTTTATCCAACTTGCCAGTCTGTGTCTTTTAATTGCAGAATTTAGTCCATTTATATTTAAAGTTAATATTGTTATGTGTGAATTTGATCCTGTCATTATGATGTTAGCTGGTGATTTTGCTCATTAGTTGATGCAGTTTCTTCCTAGTCTCGATGGTCTTTACATTTTGGCATGATTTTGCAGCGGCTGGTACCAGTTGTTCCTTTCCATGTTTAGCGCTTCCTTCAGGAGCTCTTTTAGGGCAGGCCTGGTGGTGACAAAATCTCTCAGCATTTGCTTGTCTATAAAGTATTTTATTTCTCCTTCACTTATGAAGCTTAGTTTGGCTGGATATGAAATTCTGGGTTGAAAATTCTTTTCTTTAAGAATGTTGAATATTGGCCCCCACTCTCTTCTGGCTTGTAGGGTTTCTGCCGAGAGATCCGCTGTTAGTCTGATGGGCTTTCCTTTGAGGGTAACCCGACCTTTCTCTCTGGCTGCCCTTAACATTTTTTCCTTCATTTCAACTTTGGTGAATCTGACAATTATGTGTCTTGGAGTTGCTCTTCTCGAGGAGTATCTTTGTGGCGTTCTCTGTATTTCCTGAATCTGAACGTTGGCCTGCCTTGCTAGATTGGGGAAGTTCTCCTGGATAATATCCTGCAGAGTGTTTTCCAACTTGGTTCCATTCTCCCCATCACTTTCAGGTACACCAATCAGACGTAGATTTGGTCTTTTCACATAGTCCCATATTTCTTGGAGGCTTTGCTCATTTCTTTTTATTCTTTTTTCTCTAAACTTCCCTTCTCGCTTCATTTCATTCATTTCATCTTCCATTGCTGATACCCTTTCTTCCAGTTGATCGCATCGGCTCCTGAGGCTTCTGCATTCTTCACATAGTTCTCGAGCCTTGGTTTTCAGCTCCATCAGCTCCTTTAAGCACTTCTCTGTATTGGTTATTCTAGTTATACATTCTTCTAAATTTTTTTCAAAGTTTTCAACTTCTTTGCCTTTGGTTTGAATGTCCTCCCGTAGCTCAGAGTAATTTGATCGTCTGAAGCCTTCTTCTCTCAGCTCGTCAAAATCATTCTCCATCCAGCTTTGTTCTGTTGCTGGTGAGGAACTGCGTTCCTTTGGAGGAGGAGAGGTGCTCTGCGTTTTAGAGTTTCCAGTTTTTCTGTTCTGTTTTTTCCCCATCTTTGTGGTTTTATCTACTTTTGGTCTTTGATGATGGTGATGTACAGATGGGTTTTCGGTGTAGATGTCCTTTCTGGTTGTTAGTTTTCCTTCTAACAGACAGGACCCTCAGCTGCAGGTCTGTTGGAATACCCTGCCGTGTGAGGTGTCAGTGTGCCCCTGCTGGGGGGTGCCTCCCAGTTAGGCTGCTCGGGGGTCAGGGGTCAGGGACCCACTTGAGGAGGCAGTCTGCCCGTTCTCAGGTCTCCAGCTGCGTGCTGGGAGAACCACTGCTCTCTTCAAAGCTGTCAGACAGGGACACTTAAGTCTGCAGAGGTTACTGCTGTCTTTTTGTTTGTCTGTGCCCTGCCCCCAGAGGTGGAGCCTACAGAGGCAGGCAGGCCTCCTTGAGCTGTGGTGGGCTCCACCCAGTTCGAGCTTCCCAGCTGCTTTGTTTACCTAAGCAAGCCTGGGCAATGGCGGGCGCCCCTCCCCCAGCCTCGTTGCCGCCTTGCAGTTTGATCTCAGACTGCTGTGCTAGCAATCAGCGAGATTCCGTGGGCGTAGGACCCTCTGAGCCAGGTGTGGGATATAGTCTCGTGGTGCGCCGTTTCTTAAGCCGGTCTGAAAAGCGCAATATTCGGGTGGGAGTGACCCGATTTTCCAGGTGTGTCCGTCACCCCTTTCTTTGACTCGGAAAGGGAACTCCCTGACCCCTTGCGCTTCCCAGGTGAGGCAATGCCTCGCCCTGCTTCGGCTCGCGCACGGTGCGCACACACACTGGCCTGCGCCCACTGTCTGGCACTCCCTAGTGAGATGAACCCGGTACCTCAGATGGAAATGCAGTAATCACCCGTCTTCTGCGTCGCTCACGCTGGGAGCTGTAGACCGGAGCTGTTCCTATTCGGCCATCTTGGCTCCTCCTCCGTACCAAATTTAAATAAGTTTAAATTTTTATTTTAAAGAAAAATGACAACTTTTTACTCCTTTATATCCATCTTGTGCCTGTTCATAATGGCAACCAAAAATGAGTGAATGGCTATGGAAATAAAACGATTTTATAACTAGATATACAGTAAAATTAAGGTGCTCACCTCTGCATTTAGGACTGTATTTTAGCTTAGTATTGGACAAATGGTAAAACTCAGGAGTACTGAACCCAGATCTCAAGAGAACCTTTTTCTGTATAGCTCTGGGATGGCTGAGGAAATGCCTAAATCAAGCCTTCCATCTGCTTGGCCAAAGAAAGATTTCCACATCCATTTCTAGTTTGTTCAGTAGCCTCTGAAAAAGTAATTTATTCTCTCTGTGCTTTGTTTTCTCCATCTAGTCAGTGAGGCCAATCATACTTACCACCAACCTCCATCAAGACAAACTTCTGAGAGAAAAGAATCTCTCTGAGCATCAGGGATGCTCAAAAGTCACCACATAAGTATTAGTAGAAGTATAAGGGGTGAGGGTGGGAGAACACATTATTCTTCTGTGCGTTTAGCTAATAGAACAAACATTACTGTTTCCTATAAAAATGCTACTACTTCCACATTTCCTGTATGTGGACTCTATTCTAGACATTCTAGTTTGGTGTTTTTAAAGAAAATCAGATACAGGCTATGAATAAAATATCTCTTTAATCTTAAATCCAATTTACTGTAGAATATCTTTAAAAACTTAATTATGAATGAATTTTCAGAAAAAGACCGTAAATCATATATAATTTTTTATCTTTAAGAGCTGTATACATGAACTATTTCAGGATTGGCAAATATGTAGCATATGCGTCATCTGTTCCTCCTTCTGCATACATGGCAGACATTGCCAATCCTTTAAAATCCTCTACTCTATTGAATAAAGACAGAGCTGCAGAATTCTCTGCACTGTGTTTCAGGAAGCTATGACCAACCCATCAGAGTTGAGGATGAGTTAAAACCCTCATAGGTGGGAATTGAACAATGAGAACACTTGGACACAGGAAGGGGAACATCACACACTGGGGCCTGTTGTCGGGTGGGGAGAAGGGGGAGGGATAGCATTAGGAGATATACCTGATGTAAATGTCGACTTAATGGGTGCAGCACACAAACATGGCACATGTATACATATGTACCAAACCTGCACGTTATACACATGTACCCTAGAACTTAAAGTACAATTTAAAAAACCCGCTATGCCATTCCTGATCAACTCTGACTTTCTTATTTACAGATAAAGAATCTAAGACTCAAATAGTATGGGATTTTTTTTTTTTACTGAAGTCATATAACTTGTTATTTTTGCTGTTATTTGAATGAAAAGCCAGATGTGCATGTTCCCACCGTAGTTTTATTCTGTGACATCAGGCTGTTTCTACAATTTTCAAGCCTGTCTGCATTCATTATAGTCATTATAATTTTCATATTCTTTCTGATTGATCAACTCATTCATTTACTCTTTGATTAAGTAGCATTTATGGAACAGCTACTATGTGTACTATGCCTGGGCTGGTGTCTCTGCACTCAAGAAACTTAGAGTTAAATAGAGAAATCAGGTCTTTACAAAGCTAGCCCTCATACATGATAAAGTGCCTTCTGGATCAGTTTCATCTACTAGAAACACGATCGTGTCTTTCTCATTGCTTAAGCCTATGTTGCCTAGTTATTGGTGTATCTTTCTGTCCCTTTCCAGCCAAGCTTCACATTAAAATAAATGGCTACAGTTATGGTCTTTATCTCCTTTCTTTATATGACCCAACTGACTGCACGTTAGTATTTTTCTCTTCTCAATCACTGAAAATATTCTTGCTGAAGTCAATAATCATCTACATGTTAAATTTAACAGATATATTTCAATTCTTAATTTTCTCTCTTTAAGCATTTCATGCTGTCAATCATTTCATTTCTTGAATTTCTTATTATATTCTGTTTTCTTGTATTCTTTGTTATATCGCTTTACAATACTCTTCGAATGTGTTCTCATTTCTCTGAAGCTGCCTTCTCTTTAAACAGTGTGGGTTCTTTTTCTTCTTCCAATTCCTTTGAGGTTGGTTTCCCTGGGATTATGACCTCAATTTCCTTTTCCTCTTTCTGTGGAATTTCACCTACTATTAAAACTACAAACTGCAAACTGCACTTCTAGCCTGAATATTTTTGTATCTTTCTCTCAATCTCAGATTATGGCCTCAATTTCCTTTTCTTCTCTCTGTGGAATTTCACCTACTTTTAAAACTACAAACTGCAAACTGCACTTCTAGCCTGAATATTCTTGTATCTTTCTCTTGATCCCGGTGCAGACTAGTATTTCAACTACTTACTGGGCATGTCCTTGTGTTCCACAGGCATGTAAAACTCAACTTTTCCAAAATTGAATGTATCTCCTCTCTTCAAACCTTCCTCACTTCCTGTATTTGCTAATTTGGTGCATGGCAGCACCACTGGGTCACCAGTTGCTGAAGCAGAGATACTGAATTTCTTTTAACCCCATCTTTTTTCTTACCATCCTCATCCTACAAATTCTATTGGTTCTCATCCCTTAAAAGACTTTAACTGTGTCCCCACCTCCTCATGACTGCTGCTAGTTCCTTAGTTAGGCTCTTGTCTTTCCTTGACTCTCTGCAGTAGCCTCCTAACTGATCTAATTTTATCTCATCGTAACCTTATGAATCTCCATGTTGTTGTCAGCTGAATGTTAATAAAACACAAACTGTATCATCTGGCATCCAAGCTTAGAATCATTGAAAACTCCCTTTAGATTCTGGAGTAAACTCTCTCCCTTGTACTTGGCTCTTGAGGATCAGTTCCCGCCTACATTTCCACTTTTTGTTGCTCATCACTCTAACTCCCTAGTTTTCCATCAACTAATCCCTTAGTTTTGACTTCAGTTTCAGCATATTTTAAGTGCCTTGAGTTCATCATCATCTCTCTTGCCTCCTTACTTTTGCATATATTGTTTCTTCTACCTGAAATGTTTCCACCTCTCTTTTCTTAGCTATACTGACTCATCTTTTAAATGTCAATTCTGATGCCGTTTGCACATGGAAGCTTTATCTAATCCATAGCATACTGTTTTTTTTTCTTTAATTGTAGCATTTTCTTCAAGGTGTTGCAGTTGTCCTCTTTGATCTTTAGCTATTGCAATGCCTTTCACTATTTGCAGGATGTGTTGATCGAATCAGTTGCATCATGATTGGTCTTGTCCCCAGAGTCTTCCCATTCTGTCCTGGGGCTCTGGACATGCCCTTGGCACAGTTCCTCTGCTTGGGTTTGTCACTGCATTGGCTCATGGTGAGCAATATGCAATAGCTTGATCCTGAAGTCATCAGGGGTTTTGAGAATGAAACTAGGCCATATCTTGTTTTTGACCAGTGAAGGGGAAAGAAAGAAAGTAATTCTAGAACAACCTACCACTTACTTTAGAGCTTCACTTTTATATCATCTATATTTGACCTGGAAACCATCTGTGTTTTTGTCTTTGTGGTCAGCCATTATTGTTTGTTTTGCCATGATATATGTCGGAATGATATTATTTGACTCTCCTTTAAGTACCTCCTGCTTCTTTGAGTAAGGAGATCCTACCAGTAAAACTCCTTTCTGTATCTTTGTGTTACCAATTTATTGAGATATATGGACTATCAATTGTTTTGTTTGTAAATAATTTTATTTTTGTAAATTGTGATCTAGCTACCTAATTATCTATTAATATCATCTATCTAAATCTTCTGCCTCATTTTATCCTGATACACACCTTGACTTCTTTATTAAAAAAAAAACACGTACAGAGAATATATTGGAAGGAAATTGGGGCAGTTGTTCTGAGTGATGGAATATCAGGTGACATTTTCCTTCCAATCTTTAATGCTTTTTATAGATTAATGAAATTTTTAAACTTTCATGGTTAAAAAGCTTTTTAAATGAAGAAAGACAAATAAATAAAAGGACAATATTTTCATGGGAAATAATTTTATGTTGAGATCAACCCCTTTCTCATTGAGTAATGATCCAGATTTGATTTGAAGAGAATGACATGTATTTAACCAAAAGAATTCTATTAGGTACCTACGTTAACTGTGGTTTAGAAGAGGTAGAAATCCATTTCAGCTTTAGAAAGCAGGGGAAGGATGGAAAGAAGAGGAAGTGATATTGGAGCTTTATTTTAAAAGAGAAGCAAGGGTCAACTGCTGAAAATGATAAAGGAAGGTATTCCAAACATAGGGAACAGCAATTGTATAATAACCTCAGAGATATAGCAAAGCAAGGGCAGCTCAGAATGGCTGGATATTACTATGTTTATTAGATGACGAGAAGTAGAGAGATTGTATGTCATGTTATTGGCTTATCCCTAAAACTTTAGTAGAAATTGGTGAAAGTAAGGATTTTTGTGTGTGTGTTTTTGATGAGCTCTTCAAGTATTACATGATATCTTATTTTATTAAAATCAATACACATTGCAATTTTTCTTTAGCCTCTACTTTTCAGGCAGGGTATTTTTTCACTTCTTTAAACTTAATGCAGTTTATTTTTTATAACACCATTTAATTAATGAAATCCTGTTACCCTTTGTCACGAGTAGGTTTATTTGCATCTCTGGTTTAAAACACATTTCTTGCATTTTACTTTCCAGTTCTCAGGTGTCATTTGGGAATATGATGCAGCCATTAGCTAACAGACTTTCCCCCAATTCCTAAATAACCTAAAGTAATATGAAACTGTATTTTAGCTCATCTGTACTCATAATTCAAGTTTTACTGTTAATTTTTTTTCAGAAGGCTGACTCCAGAGTGAACAAAAGTAGCTTGTGTGGAATTATTTTTACTTATGCTCCACTTTGAATGCAATGTGTGCCAAGCACATCACCTTATGATGACAGCTTGTTGCAGCCAGAAGGTCTCTAATTTAAATAAATTCTGGTTGTGTTAATCACCAAAGATATAATTATGTCATCATATGCTGTGTGCTTTTTAAATAAATGATTCTGAAACAGACTGTTCTTTGATAGTTTCATCATTTTTTCATGAGCTTGCAGAGGATGTTTATGTAGTGAAAAGCTGACCACCTCAGCACAATCTAGATACCTCTTGATGGCAGGAAGCTCATGGTTCTGGTTCTTCTGAATGAGATTATTAATCTAGTGAACACTCAACTGAATGAATAAATGATGCCATTTGTTGAAAGTCAGGAGAGTGTAAACGTTTTGTTTTCATGAGCCCCAGCTTTGATCATTCCTATCTATCCAAAGGTACTTGCTTGTGTCATTTAAGTGCTTAGGATTCTTACAGTGCTCATGATTCTTATTGCAGTTGTCCTTTGTAGTGACTTCTGAGACCCTTTGTGGCTTAGTGTGGTGACTCACACCCCAGATCGTCTTCCTGACTACCTGACTACCTGGGGCTGTGTGTAGGAGCTTTAGCCATGTCAGTGACTCCCCAGTCTGACCGTGTGTTAGCATCACCAGGAGGTTAAGAAAAATACTGATGCATTTGCTTTTCATCAGCTTAATTAAGTCAGAACCTCTTAGGAAGTGGGCTAGGCAATAGTACCTCTTTAAAGTGCCCTAAGGTGAATCTAATGTGTAACCAGGGTTGAGAATGAGTAGAACATGGATCAGGACTGAGAGGTCTGTGGGACATGCTCACCATGGGCAGTGGTGAAGGATGCTCAGGAGTCTAGGAAGTAGTATCTTGGAGAAGTGGCAAAGAAAAATCCAGATAGGCTTTTAAAAGAAGTCACTTAAAATCAGTAGAATGGGAACTTTAGGCCTTGAAGAGAGAGAGAACTCAAAGGAGAGGTTAGAGATGGGGCCTGGAGGTAGCACCTGGGCAATTGTCTGGTGCCCATGAAGGTGTGTGCCCAGAGAAGGTAAAATCATATTGTGAAGAGGAAATGACAGAAGAAAGGGGATGATTTAGCTAAGTTGACAAAAAAAATACTTCAAATTAGTAGGAATTATCATTTTCCCGATGGCTGTCTTCTATTCTTAATTTTGGGTGCTGCTGATTTGCATGTGTATTGTTAGGCCAACTAAGGCCACTGAAAATTATCAAAGCAATGTTAATTAAAAAGGTGCTGTCTACCTATTTTTTCCTGCATTATATACTCATAGCTTGACTATAATAATAGTATAAGGTTCACCAGGTACAGACTTGGGTATTTATCTAGAGGCCTCCTGTAGGCTTATTCTTCTGCCCATTTTAAGCTCTTCTAGCATGCCCTTGCTCACAGCTCCAGGAGCTGGGTAAAAAGCTAGCCATGTATGTAACCAGAGGGCCTGCTTTTCAGTTCAGGAGTTGCTACTAGCTTCCCCTGTGCCTGCCTGTAGACATTGTCTGATTTTATACCCTGATGTCCACATTTCTAGTAAATTTCCTCCCTAGATTTGGTGATTTGACTTTTTCTGTTGGCTGAGCAGCTCTAGCTTGGCCTCATTTATCTGCTGACCCTTAGATGCAGGATCACAGTTCAGACTCTGATTGCTTAGGACCTCGTCCTGGTTTCTGGGTGTTGGAATACAGACATTTAATAGCAACCATAGTTAAGAGGTCCTACTGTGTGTTCCCCATCCCCTTCATCTGTGGAGGCCACCTGTTCACAAGTAATGAGTCATTTCAATTAAAGATTTTATGAAGATGTCTTTATTAGTCCATTTTCATGCTGCTGATAAAGACATACCCAAGACTGGGCAATTTACAAAAGAAAGAGGTTTATTGGACTTACAGTTCCATGTGGCTGGAGAGGCCCCACAATCATGGTGGAAGGTGAGAGGCACGTGTTACATGGTGGCAGGCAAGAGAAGAGAGCTTGTGCAGGGAAACTCCTGTTTTTAAAACCATCAGATCTTGTGAGACTTATTCACTATCATGATAACATCATGGGAAAGACCTGCCTCCATGATTCCATTTTCTCCCACTGGGTCCCTCCCACAACACATGGGAATTATGGGAGTACAAGATGAGATTTTTGGGGGAGGAGTCACAGAGCCAAACCGTATCAATGTCTAAAAGTATCTTTTGGAGTATGAGTAAACCTAAAATCTGTAATAAATATGGTTAACCATTGAACAACATGGGTTTGAACTGTATCAATCCTCTTATGCAAACTTTATCCCACCTGTGCCACCCCTGATACTGCAATGCCAACCCCTCCTCTTATTCCTCCTCCTCAGCCAAGTCAGCGTAAAGATGACGGGGATGAAGACCTTTAGAATTATCCATTTCCACTTAATGAATAGTAAATATATTTTCCTTATGATTTTCTTAATAACATTTTCTTTTCTCTAGCTTAACATATTGTACAAATGTAGTATGTAATACATATAACAGGTTAATTACATATTAATTATTTATGTTATCGGTTTGGCTTCCAGGCAACAGTAGCCTATTAGTAGGTAAGTTTTAGGGGAGTCAAAATTATATACAGATTATTTTTCTCTTTCCAATTTTTATTTTAGGTTCAGGGGATACATGTGCAGGTTTGTTGTATGGGTAAGTTGTGTGTTGTGGCAGTTTGGTGTACAGGTTATTTTATCACCCAGGTAATAAGCATAGTACCCGATAGTAATTTTTTTATCTTCATGCTCCTCCTACCCTTACCTCAAGTATGCCCTGGTGCCTCTTGTTCTCTTCTTTGTGTCCATTGTACTCAATATTTAGCTCCCACTTGTAAGTGAGAGCATTCAGTATTTGGTTTTCTGTTCCTGTGTTAATTCACTTACGGTAATAGCCTCCAGCTCCATCCATGTTGCAGCAAAGGACATGATTTCATTCTTTTCTTTTCTTTTTTTTTTTTTTTGAGACAGAGTCTCACTCTGTTGCCCAGGCTGAGTGCAGTGGCGCAATCTCCACTCACTGCAACCTCTGCCTCCCAGGTTCAAACAATTCTCCTACCTCAGCCTCCCGAGTAGCTGGGATTACAGGTGCCCACCACCATGCCTAGCTAATTTTTTGTATTTTTAGTAGAGACGGGGTTTCACTGTGTTAGCCAGGATGGTCTCAATCTCCTGACCTCGTGATCTGCCTGCCTCGGCCTCCCAAAGTGTTGGGATTACAGTCATGAGCCACCATGCCCAGCCTCTTTTTCTTTTTTGTGGCTGTGTAGTATTTCATGGTTCTATATGTAGCACATATTCTTTTTTTATTGCAACTTTTAAGTTCGGGGTACAGGTGCAGGATGTGAAGGTTTATTACATAGGCAAACATGTGCCATGGTGGTTTGCTGCACAGATCATCCCATCACTCAGATATTAGGCCCAGCATCCATTAGCTATTCTTCTTGATGCTTTTTCTTCTCCCACCTCCCACCCTCTGAGAGGCCCCAGTGCATATTGTTCCCTGCCATGTGTCCATGCATTCTCATCATTCAGCTCCCACTTAATAAGTGAGAACACGCAGTATTTGATTTTCTCTTCCTGCATTAGTTTGCTGAGGATAATGGCCTCCAGCTCCATCCATGTCCCTGCAAAGGACATGATCTCATTCCTTTTTATGGTGGCATAGTATTCTATGGTGTATATGTACCATACTTTCTTTATCCAGCCTATAGTTGATGGGCATTTAGGTTGATTCCCTGTCTGCTTTTGTGAATAATGCTGCAGTGAACATATGTGCAATGTATCCTTAAAATAGAACAATTGGTATCCCTTTTGGTATGTACCCAGTAATGAGATTGCTGGTCAAATGCTATTTCTGCCTCTAGGTCTTTGAGGAATTGCCACATTGTCTTCCACAATGGTTGAACTAATTTATATTCCCACCAACAGTATAAAAGTGTTCCTTTTTCTCCACAACCTCACCAGCCTCTGTTGTTTTTTGACTTTTTAGTAATAGCCATTCTAACTGGCATGAGATAGTATCTCATTGTGGTTTTGATTTGCATTTCTCTAATAATCGTTGTTGAGCTTTTTTTCATGTTTGTTGGCTGTACGTATTTCTTCTTTTGAGAAGTGTCTGTCCTTTGCCTACTTTTTAATGGGGTTTTTTTTTTCTCGTAAATTTGTTTAAGTTACATATTGTTTGCTGAATATTAGATGTTTGTCAGACAGATAGATTGCAAAAATTTTCTCCCATTCTGTAGGTTGTCTGTTTACTCTGATGATCATTTCCTTTGCGGTGCAGAAGCTCTTTATTAGTTTAATTAGATCCCATTTGTCAATTTTTGCTTTCATTGCAATTGCTTTTTGCATTTTCGTCATGAAATCTTTGCCCATGCCTATGTCCTGAATGGTATTGCCTAGATTTCCTTCCAGGGTTTTTATAGCTTTGGGTTTTACATTTAAGTCTTTAATCCATCTTGAGTTGATTTTTGTATATGGTGTAAGGAAGGGGTCCAGTTTCAATTTTCTGCATATGGCTAGCCAGTTCTCCCAACATCATTTACTAAATAGGGAATCCTTTCTCCATTGCTTGTTTTCGTCAGGTTTGTCAAAGATCAGATGGTTGTAGGTGTGTGGTCTTATTTCTGGGTTTTCTATTCTGTTACATTGGTATATGTGTCCGTTTTTGTACTGGTACCATGCTGTTTTGGTTACTGTAGCCCTGTATTATAGTTTGAAGTCAGGTAGCGTAATGCCTCCAGCTTTGTTCTTTTTGCTTAGGATTGTCTTGGCTAGTCATGATCTTTTTTGGTTTTATATGAACTTTAAAATTGTTTTTTTCTAATTCTGTGAATAATGTCAATGGTAATTTAATGGGAATAGAATTTAATCTATAAATTGTTTTGGGCAGTATGGCCATTTTAACAATATAGATTCTTTCTATCCATGAGCATGGAATTTTTTTTCCATTTGTTTTAGTCATCTCTGATTTCTTTGAGCAGTGGTTTGTGGTTCTCTGTGAAGATGTTCTTCACTTCCCTTGTTAGCTGTATTCCTAAGTATTTTATTCTTTTTGTGACAATTGTGAATGGGAGTTCATTTGTGATTCAGCTTTCCACTACCATGTTGGTGGTGTACAAGAGTGCTAGCAATTTTTCACATTGATTTTGTATCCTGAGACTTTTCTGAAGTTGCTTATCAGCTTAAAAAGATTTTGGGCTGAGATGATGGGGTTTTCTAGATATAGGATCATGTCATCTGCAAGCAAAGACAATTTGACTTCCTCTCTTTCTATTTGAATACGCTTTATTTATTTCTCTTGCTTGACTGCCCTGGCCAGAACATTCAATACTATGTTGAATAGGAGTGATGAGAGAGGGCAACCTTGTCTTGTGCCAGTTTTCAAGGGGAATGCTTCCAGTTTTTGCCCATTCAGTATGATATTGGCTGTGGGTTTGTCATAAATGGCTCTTATTATTTTGAGGTATGTTCCTTCAATACCTAGTTTATTGAGAGTTTTTAACGTGAAGAAATGTTGAATTTTATTAAAGGCCTTTTCTGCATCTATTGAGATAATCATGTGGTTGTTGTCTTTAGTTGTGTTTATGTGATGAATCACATTTATTGATTTGCATATGTTGAACCAGCCTTGCATCCCAGGGATGAAGCCTGCTTGATCATGGTGGATAAGTTTTTTATGTGCTGCTAGATTCGGTTTGTCAATATTTTGTTGAGGATTTTTGCATCAATGTTCACCAAGGATATTGGCCTGAGGTTTTCTTTCTTTGTTGTATCTCTGCCAGGTTTTGATATCTTGAGGCCAGAATGATGCTGGCCTCATGATGAGTTAGGGAGGAGCCCCTCCTTTTCAAATTTTTGGGAACAGTTTTAGTAGGAATGGTACCAGCTCTTTTTTGTACCTCTGGTAGAATTCAGCTGTGAATCTGTCTGTCCTGGGCTTTTTTGTTTGGTAGTCTATTTATTACTGCCTAAATTTCAGAAGTCATTATTGGTCTATTATGGGATTAATTTTTTTTTTGAGACGGAGTCTTGCTCTTTCGCCCAGGCTGGAGTGCAGTGGCGTGATCTTGGCTCACTGCAACCTCTGCCTGCCGGGTTCACGCCATTCTCCTGCCTCAGCCTCCGGAGTACCTGGGACTACAGGCGTCCGCCACCAAGCCCGGCTAATTCTTTTTTGTATTTTTAGTAGAGACGGGGTTTCACCGTGTTAGCCAGGATGGTCTCGATCTCCTGACCTTGTGATCTGCCCGCCTCGGCCTCCCAAAGTGCTGAGATTACAGGCGTGAGCCACTGCGCCCGGCCTGGGATTCAATTTCCTCCTGGTTCAGTCTTGGGAAGATGTGTAGTCCAGGAATTTATCCATTTTTTTCCTAGATTTTCTAGTTTATGTGTTAGAAGTATTTATTTATAGTATTCTCTGATGGTTGTTTTTATTTTTATGGGGTCAGTGGTGACATTCCCCCTTATCATTTCTGATTGTATTTATTTGAATCTTCTCTCTTTTCTTTTTTATTAGTCTAGCTAGTGGTCTATCTGTTTTATTAAGTTTTCAGAAAACCAGCTCCTGGATTCATTTATTTTTTGAAGTTCTTTTTCTGTCTCTGTCTCCTTCAGTTCAGCTCTGATCTTGGTTATTTCTTGTCTTCTGGTTGCTTTGCGGTTGTTTGCTCTTGGTTCTCTAATTCTTTTAGTTGTGATGTTAGATTGTTAACTTGAGATCTTTCTAGTTTTTTTCATGTGGGCATTTAGTGCTATAAATTTGTCTCTTAACAGTGCTTTAGCTGTATCACAGAGATTCTCCTAATTGTAGCTTTGTTCTCATTAGCTTCAAAGAACTTCTTGATTTGTAGCTTAATTTCATTATTTACCCAAAAACCAGTTAGGAGAAGGTTGTTCAGTTTCCATGTAGTATATGGTTTGAGTGAATTTCTTAATCTTGACTTCTAATTTGATTGCACTGTAGTCTGAGAGACTGTTATGACTTCAGGTTTTTTTTTTCTTTGCATTTGCTGAGGAATGTTTTAGTTCTAATTATGTATCACATATTTATCCAATCCACCATTAATGGGCATTTAGGTTGATTTCATGTCTTTGCTATTGTGAATAGTGCTGTGATTAACATATGAATGCATGTACACAGATTTTTGAAACTGTTAGATTTTTGCAGTTTCTCTAACCCCTCCATTGTTCAAAGGTCAACTGTATGTGCTTTTATATCAGATAACTGAGTATAAATGTATACAATGCTTGGTTTAGTTTGATATCAACTTCCAATTCTTCTTCACTCATTTAACTCTATAAGGTGGAATTTCTCTCCCTCCTTTTTAGATTTAACAAATATTCTCTAGACATCTACAGCATTAGGCAATATGTCAGATTCTACCTGTGTTCTTCTACCTGTATTCATATAATGCCTTGAAACTATCAGGATTTCAGAAATGGTTTCTGACCTTCAAAGTTCCAGCAGTTGGTGATTTCATATGATATTAACATTGTACAGTGTTTCTCATAGGCTGATGACTGTTTAGTACACAGTGCGCTAGTTGCAGTATTTGGCTCTGTTCAAGGAATAGTCTATTTTTAATGGGAAAAAATAGGTCATTTGGTAAAAACACCCAACATAAACATGACCTCTATTCTCAAGAGGATTTTAAAATGAATACCTTGTGGTTTCAGAGGAACACTTTTTA